>NC_000009.12:67588260-67754406 GCF_000001405.40 Homo sapiens | reverse complement strand
TTTACGCACACTTCTAAAAGGGGGTGGTCTAACTTGAAACAAGCTTACAGTGGTGCAAAGTATAATGATTCAAAAGCAAGGATACAGAAGAAGAACAAAGGCAGTCAATCATACTACGACAAGTTCACAACTCAGGCTTACATATGACTCTTGCTATGCAGCCCAGATAGCTGTTATCTAGGCTTGTTCCAGTGCTTTGCATGGGCTTATCTCATAACATTTGCTATGGCATCTAGGGGACTGCAATCCAGGCCTGCTCAGGTGTCTCATGATCTTCACTGTGCTGCTTAGATGAATAACAGAATCAAAAGAGAAAGGAAAATTTGTTTTTCTTCTCCCTATGTTGAGGGAGCCCTGGGAGACTCTCCAGAGCACATTCTTTGAGCCCCATCTTCTTAGATAATGCTATCGAGACTTTGCCTGGGTCTGGGCTTTGCCTGTTACTGCCTTTGGGATGAGTCAGCCTAATACAGAAAGATTGTTTCTTTCTCTTTTTAATTTTACTTTTCTTTCTTTAATTTCCAGCCTCAAGGGTGATGGGAGAAGATGTAAGAAAAGTTATAGGGAAAAATGCAAACCTTCTTGGAAGGCCAAAAACTTTGGAGAATAATTTAGCTGAAGGCAGCTAAATTCTCTTAAGGGCAAAGGTTAGATAACAAGGGAATGTAAAGAAACATATCTAGAAAAATTGGTTTACTTATGTCTCAGGAAACCAACCTTTGATCATTCATGTGCAAGACTGCTCTCTACTTAGGGGTCAACAATGTTAATTTCCCACAAATTGTGTTTGCTCCAGGCCTTTGTCTTCAAATCTGTACTAAATTAATACAAAGTTCTCTGGCTTAGTGGGACTGTACTCTCATTGGTGATGCTAAGCAGTGCAGTCCCCTAGCTGCATTCTCAGGCAAAATAACTGTGTCTGAATACTTTTTTCATTGGTCGCTCAGCCAGAGTGTGCGGGATGGACCCGACACAAGAGAACAAAGCTGGGGCCTAATACAAGTACCCCAGAGTTAGAGCACCCAGTCCAGAAGTTGGGAGCTGAATGTTGGTGCCATAAAATCTCCCAGAAATGAAGCCAGTCAGCTGAATCTACCTTATAACACAAACAAATCTTCGACATCATCAAATAGGATGAAAGAAAACAAAATACCGTCCAAAGGTAAGCAATCTCAAAGACTGAAGTTAGATAAGTGCACAAAGATGAGAAAGAATCAGTGCAAGAATACTGAAAACTCAAAAAGCCAGAGTAACTTCCTACCTCCACATAACTGCATCACCTCTCCAGCCAGGGTTCAGAACAGGGCTGAGGCTGCAATGGCAGAAATAGCATTCAGAATGTAAACAGTAATAAAATTCATTGAGCTATAGGAGTATGTTGTAAGCCAATACAACAGAGCTAAAAATCACAATAAAACATTGCATGACCTGGCAGACAAAATGCCAGTATAGAGAACATAACCAACCTGATAGAGCTGAAAAACACCACAAGAATTTCACAATGCAATCGTAAGTATTAACAGCAGAATAAACCACATGGAGGAAACAATCTAAGAGCTTAAAGAATGGCTTTCTGAAATAAGATAGGCAGATAAGAATAGAAAAAAAGAATGAAAAAGAATGAACAAAACCTCTGAGAAATATGGGATTATGTAGAGACTGAATCTACAACTGGTGTACCTAAAAAGGATAGAGAAAATGGAGTCAACTTAGCAAAAGTTGACTTTTGATATTTTTGATCTCATGGATCAAAATATCATCCATGAGAACTTCCCTAACCTAGATAGAGAGGTCAACATTCAAATTCAAGAAATACAGAGAACTTCAGTAAGATACTCCACAAAAAGATCATCTTGAAGACAAATAATCATCAGTTTCCAAGGTCAAAACAATAGAAAAAATGTTAAAGACAGTGTATTAGTCTGTTTTCACACTGCTGATAAAGACATACCTGAGATTGGGTAAATTATAAAGAAAAAGAGGTTTAATGAACTCACAGTTCCACATGACTGGGGAGACTTCACAATCATAGTGGAAGGCAGAAGTCATGTCTTACATGGCAACAGGCAAGAGAGAGAATGGGGACCAAGCAAAAGCAGAAACCCCTTATAAAACCATCAGGTCGTGTGAGACTTACTGACTACCACAAGGACAGTATAGGGGAAACTGCCTCCATGATTCAATTATCTCCCACTAGGTCCTTCCATAACGCATGGCAATTATGGGAACTACAATTCAAGATGAGATTTGGGTGGGGACACAGAGCCAAACCATATTATTTTGCCTGTGTCCCCTCTAAATGTGTCCTCAAGTTTCAAAACCAATCATACCTTCCCAACAGTTCCTCAAGTCTTAACTCATTTCAGCATTAACTCAGAAGTCCACAGTCCAAAGTCTCATCTGAGACAAGACAAGTCCCTTCCACCTATAAGCCTGTAAAATCAAAAGAAAGTTAGTTACTTTCTTGATACTATGGGGGTACAGGCATTCGGTAACTATACCCATTCCAAACAGGACAAATTGGCCAAAATAAAGGGGTTACAGGCCGCATGCAAGTCCAAACTCCAGCAAGGCAGTTGAATCTTAACGCTTCAAAATGATCTCCTTTGACTCCATGTCTAACATCCAGGTCATGCTGATGCAAGATGTGGGCTCCCATGGACTTGGGCAGCTCTGCCCCTGTGGCTTTGAAAGGTACGGTTCCCACCTAGCTGCTTTCACAGGCTGGTGTTGAGCAACTGAGGTTTTTTTAGGTGCATATGCAAGCTGTGAGTGGATTTACCATTCTGGGGTCTGGAAGATGGTGGTCCTCTTCTCGCACAGGCAGCGCCTCAGTGGGGACTCTGTGTGGGGCTCCAACCCCACATTTCCCTTCCCCACTTCCTTAGCAGAGGCTCTCCATGATCACCCCCCCTCCCCCACAGCAAACTTCTTCCTGGACATCCAGGCATTTCCATACATCCTCTGAAATCTAGGCTGAGGCTCCCAAGCCTTGCTTCTTGACTTCTGTGCACATGCAGGCTCAACTCCACATGGACGCTGCCAAGGTTTGGGGCTTGCAACCTCTGACACCCTGGCCCAAGCTGTACCTTGGTCCCTTTTAGTCACAGCTGGAGTGGCTGGGATGTAGGGCACCAAGTCCCTAGACTGCACACAGAGAGGGGCCCTGGGCCTGTCCCCAGAAAACATTTTTTCCCCCGAGGCCTCTGGGTCTGTGATGGGAGGGGCTGCTGTGAAGACCTAGGACATGGCCTAGAGACATTTTTCCCATTGTCTTCATGATTATGATTTGGCTTCTTGTTACTTATGCACATTTCTGCAGCTGGCTTGAATTTCTTCTCAGAAAATGTTTTGGTTTTTTTTCTATTGCATTGTCAGACTGCAAATTATATAAATATATATATAATGTAAATAATATGAGCCAATAAATACATAACTAATTAATATTTAAATTATTAAAGATAAATATTAATTTTAACTATTTTATCAAAATTGTAAATATGGAAATGTATGTAACATACAATTATTGATAAATAAGTTGGGGGTTTTACTTATGATTTTCTCAAAACCTGAATAAAAATATCCTTTCTTTTTTGAGTCCTGGATTTTCTTCAGTTTGAACAAATATTGGAATTATTAACTCTGCACCAAAGCTAAATAACTGATTAAGGACACATGATGAACCTATTAGCATAAATGTGTAAATGTTATTTTTAAAAGCAGTGAAAAAGTTAATGAAGATATTTAATTAACCTGAAGAGTCCACTTACTAGATAATTCAATGTCATTAATTAGGTGACTCATAAAGCAGATGCTTTCCATTTTTTGAGAGTGGCTAGAAAAAAAAAGTTTATGTTTACAACATGACTCTACTAAGAAACCTGAATATTATTTCATTACTTTTTATCAAGCTAATATGAGAAAGGAAGCAATAAGATAAAAATAAATGACAGTCACTTCTTGGACTGGAAGCAAAGAAGTTTAACAAAAGAAAAAAAAGCATTCTTCCCCACTTTCTTAAAAATTGAGACCACATTTTAAAATAATTTTGCTTGAGGTCTAATTAAAAATATTATAGTTTCCATTTTCTGGAAGATTATAGTTTTTCAAAACTGCAAACAGTAGGCAGATAAATATAAATTACGATAAACATAATGTAGATGTATCTTTACAGAAAACTTTAGATCAAATGTTAGCTTTTTCTACAAAGGGTCAGATTTTAAGTATGTTAGGCTTTGACAATCATGCAGTTTCTGTTGCAACCACTCAACTCTGACATAATAGCCTGAAAACATCTATAGACCACATGTAAGTGAATGATCTTGTGTCCAAAAAAAAACCTTGTTATTTATGAAAACACTGCAGTTTTTACTTTCTGCAATCGTTATATGCTACAAAATGTTATTTTAAAAAATTGTTTCAATCATTTAAATCTCTAAAAACCATTATTACCTTGCAGGCTGTACCAAAACCATAGGCCACAGGCTGCCAATGCTCACACTGAAGAAACAAAATTGTGATATCAGTACAGCCTTCACAGAGAAAATAGAGTTTGAAACTAGAATATCAACTACAACTGGAGAGTTAAATGAAAAGTCTTATTAGTTAGATGGAGTGGGTTTTGCAAGACACTGGTGAGAAGTACAGAATTTGGGGTAATTGCAGTAATTACGTGGGCTTAAATATATATGTGTGGGTAGAAGAGGGAGATGTCAAGCGATGAGAGTAGAGATGAGTTTAGGATAAATTACAAATGTCTTCAGGCCATCCAAAGTGTTTATAATTTATTCTAATGGAAGTGACAAGACATTAATGAGATCTAAAATAGGGACTACAAGAAACAGATTACAATAGATAAACAAGACTGTAGGCAGAGAGCTTCTTAATTCCACAGTTCATTGGCAAGTCCAAGAAGAAACTTAAGGTGACCTGAACTATAGTAATGACAGTGGATTCACTTATAAGTACAGTCTTGAGTTGATTAATGATGAGAATTCATTCTGAGAAATGTGTTCCCTAGGTGAACATCATAGTGTCCTTTTACAAACCTAGATGGTGTAGCCTACTACACACTTCGGCAATAAGGTAGAAGTTATTGCTTTTAGGCTACAAGCCCTTACATCAGGTTACTATATTAAATAATGTAGCCAATTGAAACACAATGATAAACATCTTTATATCTAAACATAGAAAACATACAATAAAAAGATATGGTATAAAAAATAAAAAGTTGCACACCTGTATAGGATGGTTACTATAAATGGCACTTGCAGGCCTAGAAGTTGCTCTGGATGAGACAGTGAGTGAGTGGTGAGAGAAAGCAAAGTCTTTAGATATTACTGAACACTACTGTAGACTTAATAAACACTGTACACTTAGGCTACATTACATTTCTAAAAACTATTCTGTAATAATAAAATAACCTTAGCTTACTGTATCTTTTTTACTTTATAATTTTTTTGACTCTTGCAATAACGCTTAGTTTAAAACACAAACACATTGAACATCTGTACAAAAAATATTTTCTTTCTTTATACCCTTATTATATAAGCTTTTTTCTACAATGGAACAGAACAGAGCCCTCAGAAATAATGCCGCATATTTACAACTATCTGATCTTTGACAAACCTGAGAAAAACAAGCAATGGGGAAAGGATTCCCTATTTAATAAATGGTGCTGGGAAAACTGGCTAGCCATATGTAGAAAGCTGAAACTGGATCCCTTCCTTACACCTTATACAACAATTAATTCAAGATGGATTAAACACTTAAACCTTAGACCTAAAACCATAAAAACCCTAGAAGAAAACCTAGGCGTTACCATTCAGGACATAGGCATGGGCAAGGACTTCATGTCCAAAACACCAAAAGCAATGGCAACAAAAGACAAAATTGACAAATGGGATCTAATTAAACTCAAGAGTTTCTGCCCAGCAAAAGAAACTACCATCAGAGTGAACAGGCAACCTACAAAATGGGAGAAAATTTTTGCAACCTACTCATCTGACAAAGGGCTAATATCCAGAATCTACAATGAACTCAAACAAATTGACAAGAAAAAAACAAACAACCCCATCAAAAAGTGGGCAAAGGACATGAACAGACACTTCTCAAAAGAAGACATTTATGCAGCCAAAAAACACATGAAAAATTGCTCACCATCACTGGCTATCAGAGAAATGCAAATCAGAACCACAATGAGAGACCATCTCACACCAGTTAGAATGGCAATCATTAAAAAGTCAGGAAACAACAGGTGCTGGAGAGGATGTGGAGAAATAGGAACACTTTTACACTGTTGGTGGAACTGTAAACTAGTTCAACCATTGTGGAAGTCAGTGTGGTGATTCCTCAGGGATCTAGAACTAGAAATACCATTTGACCCAGCCATCCCATTACTGGGTATATACCCAAAGGATTATTAATTATGCTGCTATAAAGACACACACACACATATGTTTATTGCGGCACTATTCACAATAGCAAAGACTTGGAACCAACCCAAATGTCCAAAAATGACAGACTGGATTAAGAAAATGTGGCACATATACACCATGGAATACTATGCAGCCATAAAATGATGAATTCATGTCCTTTGTAGGGACGTGGATGAAATTGGAAATCATCATTCTCAGTAAACTATCGCAAGAACAAAAAACCAAACACCGCATATTCTCACTCATAGGTGGGAATTGAACAATGAGAACACATGGACACAGGAAGGGGAACATCACACTCTGGGGACTGTTGTGGGGTGGGGTGAGGTGGGGAGGGATAGCTTTAGGAGATATACCTAATGTTAAATGACAAGTTAATGAGTGCAGCACACCAGCATGGCACATGTATACATATGTAACTAACCTGCACATTGTGCACATGTACCCTAAAACTTAAAGTATAATAATAATAAAATAAAAAAAGAAAAATAAAGTTTTTAAATTTATATTATTTACTTTTAAAACATTTTATTAATAAGACACAAACACATACAGTAGCTGAGGCCTACACAGGGTCAGGATTATCAATATTACTGTCTTCTGCCTTTATATCTTGTCCCACTGGAAGGTCTTCCAGGGCAATAACATGCGTGGAACTTTCATCTTCTACGATAACAATGCTTCCTTATAGAATACCTCCTCAAGGACCTGTCTGAGGCTGTTTAATGGTTAACTCTTTCTCTCTCTCCTCTCTCCATATATATATATATGAATTGTTTGGCTCATTATAATCTTATGGGACCACTGTTCTGTAGGTAGTTCATCATTGACCGAAATGTTCTTATTAGGCAGGGCATGATTGTATATTATTTTTATTTACCACTGAATGGCAATATTAAATATGTTACAAGAATGGTTTGGATATTAAATCCTTATTATTCTTATTATTGTTATTGAGACAGAGTCTTGCTCTGTCGTCCAGGCTGGAGTGAAATGGCACTATCGTCTCGGCTCACTGCAACCTTCGCCTCCCGGGTTCAAGTGATTCTCCCGCCTCAGCCTCCCGAGTAGCTGGGACTACAGGCGCACTTTACCATGCCTGGCTAATTTTTGCGTTTTTAGTAGAGATGGGATTTCAGTCACCACGTTGGCCAGGCTGGTCTCAAACTCCCGACCTCAGTTGATCCACCCGCCTTGGCCTCCCAAAGTGTTGTGATTACAAGTGACCACTCCCAGCCTTAATTCCTTATTATGAAGACATGTAATTCATATAACAAAAGCAGTAAAAATGTCTAGAATCCTATGTCCTTTCCAGAATGCTGTCAAGAGCTAAGCTGCCATGGAGTTGAAATAGCTAATTAAAACAATAAGCCAAAATGACAGTAACAGTCAAATCTTTACTAACTGAGATAGTTTAAGCAAGAAACTAAAGAGGAAAGATCGCTAGCTCCTCCAATGTTCCATTTTGTCCCATGAAACAGCTCCAGGCCAAGGTCATGTAGATCAGCACAAATGCAGATGTGGGAATTTTCTCAGCAAGGATCTTTTGACCAAGGAGCCATGAACAAAAAGCTCCTTTCATCTTATGGACCTGGGTCCTTGGGACAGAAAGAGGAGGAAGGGCTAAGAATGGGAAAATACTGAGTTCTGATTCAGAATAGAGAATAATGATTTCAATGTTTCCCCTTTCTCCTCTCCCTTATCCCTCTCTCCCTATCATAAGGAGTTCTCTGCAAAGGTTTTCTATTGAGGGTCCCTAATAAGGATAGCTCAGATGGGGGTGCCTGAGACTTGAATGGCAGACATGCACAGGAGGATGGTTGGCTAGCGGGGAATGAGTCCTAGACTGCAGCTCCCATTAGATATTGTAATGCACTGGCTGTTTGCCAATTCTGGTATAGGGAGAGTATCTTTCTCTAGTGAGGCCTGCCAGGTAAAGCCATTGTCATGGCCTATGGTTAGGCCTGAAAGGTTACACATAGGGTTTCTGCCTGGAGTTGGACTCCTCAGATGCCTTTTGGATTTTCTGTCAAGTGGTAAACATTAATGGAAGATTAAAACAACTCCAATTTGACAAGACAACTAAGGGCACTGTTCATGAAGAGTGGGCTCTTGCTGTGGAAACTTGGATAATTTAGGATACTATAGAGAAGTGTGGAATGAATAATATAAAAAGAATGGTACAAATACCATCCACAGTTCCATGATCAGTTATAAAATTAAGTATGTAATACATTCTTGGGTTTTCTTCTCTTCTGCATTGTCATGTATATAATTGTTTGTCTTATTTTATCTTCCATTTTTCCCATCATTTTTAGGGTAGGCTGGTTTGAATAACTTCATAATTTATTATCTTATTTCAGGATATTAAGACATAGTTGAGACTGAATCCGAAGAGGAGTGAATATCATGGATACCTATTTTGGATAGGACCACTGCATTTTAATTTGTGCAACATATATTTGAATTATATTTGACAGGATCATGTACTTGTTACTGTTACTCTTTTGAAGTTTAAGCTTTAGAAAAGGCAGGTGCATGGATATTGAATAGTCTTAAGCTGGACCATCGGCTATTTCAGACTGGCTTACTCAGGCATATTCCAAAACTCTGGTAGTTTGACTAAGTACTTGCTCAATTTGGAACAGCTAAAAATGATATCCCCAGGCTTACTCACAATTCAGGTTTTACATTAAACCTACCTTCTTTAAGGAAAAGAGCCTGAGATAGAAGGTGCCTTCCTATTCTTTTTCCTGACAAGCAGTGTAACAAAACCATTTACTTTCCTGTAACGACAGTCACAAATGACCAAATGTCCAGTCCTTAGTTCTGTGGCCAACATTCTGTGTTATTCAAATATGAACCTTGGCTGAGATCCTATGATCAAGAAGCAAGCAGCTATGACAGAAGTATTTTAATGCTTAGAGAAAAAAAAAACAAAGGTAGCAACTCACTGTTAGGTTAGGGTTAGTCTGCAGATACCTGGATTAAGATATCTTAAGCCACTGTGTGGTCCCTGGCTGACCAGAGTGAGTTCATTTATATCTATCTCCTCTATGTGGATAACAATAAAAACATAACAGAGGGAGATGGATTCCATAAATATGACTGTTGAAAATGTTATAGCTACAGAGGATCTAAGATATATGTTTGGTAGTTGGACTAATGTATTGTTTGGATCAAATAAAATATGTGTTAGAGAATGCAACTGTTTATTCAAAGTATAGGGGCAAAGTTTAGGCCCAGATCAGTCAGGAAGGTGGCAAACTGTTTCACACATTTCCTGACATGTAAATCAGAAATGTTGTGTAGAACAGAACTTATATACAAGCTAAAATAAGTAAACACAAAACAAAAGATAGTGACCAAAATCTTTAGCAAGAAGAGGTGCATCACAAAAGGAAAGAGGAACAGGAATGACCTGATATGAAACTATAAGGTACCCCTGTAAGAGATATGAATGGAGGCTGCTACAGTAAGTCTAAGGCCAACAATGTAGAGAGAAACAGATGAAATTTTTCTTCGTATTGTTAAATTAAAATGCAAACATTCGAGCTTCCCAGCTTCCACATCAAAGTAGAAAAAAAAAGAAATTTGCATTAGAAATGTGTGTCTAGCTTTTATGAAGGATGACAGAAAAAATTATTGTTTCTCAAAGCAGTTTTTCTAAAAGTACATTTGTAAAATGGACAATGTGCCTCAAGTTACAAAAAAATATTTTATTATTCTCTATGTAAATATGTTTCCCATGAGTACATTTAATGATGTTTAGACTAACAATTTTGTTTAAATTTTAAGTTAATAAGATAAACTTTGAAACTGGGAAAAAAACAAATAGCAAAGTTAGCATAATTTTAGTGCCAGTGGTTGCACAGGAGATCCTGATTCTCCAGCTTCTCAGTCATGGCAAAAGGAGCAACAGTCCCAGCTCTGTCGTTTTTCTGGAGGAGTTCTAGCAATCATTTAGAAGATCAGCCCAAGACCTGCTCCACCAACTCTCCAATCGTGTAAGAAACTAATTCTATATATTAAATTTTGTTTGCCTATATTACCTAAAGATTTATTCTTATAATCTATAATGGAAAATTGGAATATTGAGTATGCTGATGAAAAAGATTACATTTTCTTAAACAAAAGTTCACTCCTAAATGATAAATTCAATTATAGGAGCAAATTTAGGTAGGCATAAAAAGAGAAAAGTGAAAATACAATTGAAAAATTGAGGCCGGGCGCGGTGGCTCACACCTGTAATCCCAGCACTTTGGGAGGCCGAGGCGAGTGGATCACGAGGTCAGGAGATCGAGACCATGGTGAAACCCCGTCTCTACTAAAAGTACAAAAAATTAGCTGGGCGCGATGGTGGGCGCCTGTAGTCCCAGCTACTCAGGAGGCTGAGGCAGGAGAATGGCGTGAACCCAGGAGGCGGAGCTTGCAGTGAGCCGAGATCCCACCACTGCACTCCAGCCTGGGCGACAGAGCGAGACTCTGTCTCAAACAAACAAACAAACAAACAAACAAACAAACAAAAAAGAAAAATTGAAGCAACTCCACATGCATTCCAGCTTTACAGAGTGAAAGTGTACGTGAAATTTTATTAAGAGACAATAATTTATAATGCATAATTAACTCAAGAATTAATATTATTTGACACAATTTTGAGCATACTAAAAGGTAACTGGATTTTATAATCTAATTAAAAAGTCATATAAGTAAATACAATGAGTATTACCTTTATAAATACTTTAAGATGCATTCGAGTATATGCTATAATGGAAATATTCGGCCGGGCGCAGTGGCTCACGCCTGTAATCCCAGCACTTTGGGAGGCCGAGGCGGGCGGATCACAAGGTCAGGAGGTTGAGACCATCCTGGTTAACATGGTGAAACCCCATCTCTACTCAAAATACAAAAAAAATTAGCCGGGCATGGTGGCAGGCGCCTGTAGTCCCAGCTACTCAGGAGGCTGAGGCAGGAGAATGGCGTGAACCCAGGAGGCGGAGCTTGCAGTGAGCCGAGATTGCGCTGCTGCACTCCAGCCTGAGCAACAGAGACAGACTCTGTCTCAAAAAATAAATAAATAAATAAATAAATAAATTAGTAAATTTTGCATAAGTAAATTATACCTCAGTAAATCTGGCTAAAATACAATGTAAATATGTGTATCAACCACCATTAATTTAAAAATTCTAGGGCCAGGCATGATGGCTTATACCTGTAATCCTATCACTTTGGGAGGCTGAGGTGGGAGGATCCCTTGAGCCCAGGAGTTCAAGACAAGCCTGGGTAACAGGGAGAGCCTCATCTCTATAGAAAATTAAAAAATTTAATTAGCCTATCGTGGTGGCTCACACCTGTAATCCCAGATACTTGGGAGGCTTTTTTGAGGTTATAGTGAGTTATGATCCAGCTACTGTACTCCAGCCTGGTGACAGAATGACATCTTCCCTCTATAAAAATAAAAATAAAATCTATGACATTTAACTGATTACATATTTAATCAATTAATTGGAATAAATGATATCCTGATTATGACATTTCAATAGACATATTATTATTTATTTTAATATTTGAATAGAGTAAATAAAGTCCTATTTTTCTTTCAATTTGTCATTTATTTTATGTTGCTTTGAATAGAAAACTAATGCTGCAATTGTGTACACCATTAAATCATTAGGTTCTAATTTCCTTGATCTATTACGAAAAGTGATTTTCAATTTTAATATCAAGGGCATTATTTGCAGAATATTGTTATTCTGCAAATATATTCTGCAAATACATTCTGTAATATTTAAATATCATAATCAAGCAAACTCTTAAATGTGACACCTGAAACAATTATAGGCAAAGAAAATACTAGTAATATAGCTCACAGATAAAGCTTATTTAATATAAAGTATGCAAGGAACTTCGGATTCAGACAATATGGCACAGATCCATGTTTTTCCCGCCTCTTTTTGTTATGCACAACTGTATATTTTGAAAATGACACATGTGACTAACATGAAAAAGCTCTATGAGATGGAGGTAAACAGAAGAAGAGTTAGTTTGATATGCAAGGAATGGTGAAACAGCACAACAGCAAGGCATCTTGTGTATCCTGAAGTCCTGAAGAAGGCCTTCAGACTTATTTTTCCTAATCCCCCAATCTAGCAACAGAAGATACCTCAAGTAAGCTCCTTCCTCCCTTGGATCAATCAGGAGCCACTAGCTTGAGACACCCACCACCATCCAGGAGAAGCAGCTAGGAGAAATGCTAAGAGAGGTGCTCTCCTTCCCAGTACAGCTTGAGGCTTCCTTTTCTACCAGGAAGCACAAAGGTGGGAAAATAGAATCAGGAAGAGGGACCTAGTAGAGAAAGTGGCCTGGCCTAAGAAGCTGCTTTGTCCCTGCAGGCCTAAGACTCTCTTCCCAATGACCCCAGAGTAGCCAGGGGACATTGGTTGGGGGATTCTACCACACCCCTCACCACATACCTCAGACACCTGGTAGCCTAACCTGGAGAAACTGCTTCCACTGCCATAGGCAGCACTAACAGGGAGCAGTGGAATTCCCAGCAGCACCATATTAATCAAAGAGTCTGAAATCACAATGCAAAAGCTCTAAACATTAACTTGGTATTGAAACTACAGCCAAAACAATTGGCCAGTGCAGGACAGTTCTCCATGTGGCCTTGGATTGACCCAGTTCTCTTCCCTTTCTTCCTTGTAGGTCTTAATAATTACTGTAGATTGTGCTGGGAATACATTATGGTGAGATAAGGAGGGGCTGACTGGACTAGCCTGGGCCTGTTGCTCTTTCCTCTGGAAGCAGGATGTCCCTCAAAGCTTTAAGTCAATGTTTCACATTGGCTCTGAGGTATATAACCCTGAACAGGCTGTCTTAAAGAGTCCTGGCTGGGCGTGGTGGCTCATGCCTTGTAATCCCAGCACTTCAGGAGGCCAAGGTGGGTGGATCACCTGAGGTCAGGAATTCAAGACCAGCCTGGCCAACATTGTGAAACCCCGTCTCTACTAAAAATACAAAAAACTTAGCGTGGTGGCAGGCGCCTGTAATCCCAGCTACTTGGGAGGCTGAGGCACCAGAATCGCTTGAACCCAGGAGGCAGAGGTTGCAGTGAGCCGAGACCGTGCCATTGAACTTCAGCCTGGGCAACAAGAACCAAGCTCCATCTCGAAAAAAAAAAAAAAAAAAAAAAGCCCCTCAGCTGTGGTGCAAGTGGGGAATGCACAGCTGAGACTCGATGTGCCCTAGACAGCTTTCTTGAGTCTTCAGGAACGAGCTCATCATAGATCCTAGCATTCTTTTGTCCCTTGCTGCCTACCTGTAAGTCACAAATCTGCTTTGTGTAACTTGTTGCATATGAGTGTATTCTGTCTCCTGCACTCAGACAAGCTGGTAAGCAGCACACAGTAAACCTAATCCACAAAATGCGTCCAGCAAGCAGGGCCCCATCTAATGTAATCATAGCTTATTTGAGAAGCAGGAGGGGTGATACTTCCTAGTACCCAGCCCAGGGGAAAGACAGCAGCCTGGGGGCATGGGGATTGAATATTTTCAGAGGAAGGAAGGGTGATAAGTCGGATTTAGGTCTGCCACTTCCCACAGATGTGAATGAGATGGCTGCATGGATCAAGGCAAACAAAAGGCAATGAGGGAATAGAGGAGCATAGGTCCCTTGGTTGGGGATATTTATTTAATTACCCTGTCATTCATGGGGGCAGAGAGTGAGGGAAGTGTGTACTCAACCAGACACTAAGGCACCTGAGAGGGAAAGAAGAAAGGGGTCCTCAGATCTTCCTTGAGGCATCTGAGAAGGAATCAATACATGTGATAAAGGCCTTCACAGAAAGGGAGACTCATTATCTAAAGGACAGATATAGAGAAAGGCCAGGCATGTTTCTTTGATGAAAGGACATTGCAAATCCAATGTCTTGGGCTGAATGGCAGAGTCAGAAATGGGACCAAGTTCTCGGGGTCCCCAAATGGAGGCCAAAGGCCTTATATTTCTGTCAAGGTAAGAGGAGAAAAGAAAGAAATTCAGACTTTTTTTTTTGATACAGGAGTCCACATAATACTTCCAGGTCCTCTTAGGGAGAAAAACTGGTGACACTGGAAGGTTTTAGAATGAATGCATTGACCAGTAGTGCTTATCTACCTGTGATATGGCTTTGGTCCATATTGGATGTCAGTGACCATGGTTCTCACTTGTGAGTGCATTATTGGTATTGACCCCCCGCCTTCTTGTAGCACAAAAATCACCATTGCCTGAGGGGACATACTCTTTGACAACTCAGAATTCAAGCCATAACAGTGGGGCATATCCTGCCTGCCACCTAAACTACCCAAGCCCCAGTGGATTATTTAACAAAAGCAGTACTACATGGTAAGTGGAGAATAGGACATTACTTTATTAATTCAGGACTACAACAAACTATCCCTTTTAAGCAGCCTGTAAGGATCCATTGGATTCTCCTGTGGCAACCTGGGGCCCAGGACTCATAGACATGCTTACTGACAGCATGGCATTGTCATGCATCAGTGCATCAGTGTGAAGAGACTACCAAACAGGTTTTTTGTGAGCAACAAGACTGTTTATTTCACCTGGGTGCAGGCAGGCTGAGTCCAAAAAGAGAGTCAGTGAAGGAAGATGGGGTGGGGCCGTTTTATAGGATTTGGGTAGGTAGTGGAAAATTACAGTCAAAGGGGGTTATTCTCTGGCAGGCAGGGGTGGGGGTCACAAGGTGCTCAGTGGGGGAGCTTCTGAGCCAGGAGAAGGAATTTCACAAAGTAATGTCATCAGTTAAGGCAGGAGCCAGCCATTTTCACTTCTTTTGATTCTTCACTTGTTTCAGGCCATCTGGATGTATACGTGCAGGTCACAGGAGATACGATGGCTTAGCTTGGGCTCAGAGGCCTGACATTCCTGTCTTCTTATATTAAAAAGAAAAATAAAACAAAATAGTGTTGAAGTGTTGGGGTGGTGAAAATTTTGGGGGGTGCTATGGAGAGATAATGGGTGATGTTTCTCAGGGCTGCTTCGAGTGGGATTAGGGGAGGCATGGGAACCTAGAGTGGGAGAGATTAAGCTGAAGGAAGATTTTGTGGTAAGGGGTGAAACTGTGGGGTTGTTAAGAGGAGCATTTGTCATATGGAATGATTGGTAATGGCCTGGATGCAGTTTTGTATGAATTGAGAAACTAAACGGAAGACACAAGGTCTGAATAAGTGAAGGAGAAAAACAGGTATTAAATGACTAAGAATTGGGAGGACCAAGGACATCCAATTAGAGAGTGCTCAAGGGGGTTCAGCATAATTACTTGTTTGGTTGGTGAGTTTTGGGGCTCTATCCTTGACAGAGTCCTCTTTTTTAAGTTTTAAGTTGGAGGCTGAGCTTGGTGAGGTGTGTTTTTAAAAGACAATTTGTCCGTCCTACCATTCCTGAAGATTCAGGATGGTAAGGGCTATAAAGGTTTTACTGAATACCAAGAGCCTAAGAAACTGCTTGGGTGATTTGACTAATAAAAGCTGGTCCGTTATCAGACTGTATAGAGGAGGGAAGGCCAAACCAAAGAATTATGTCTGACAGAAGGGAAGAAATCATCGTGGTGGCTTTCTCAGACCCTGCGGGAAAGGCCTCTACCCATCCAGTGAAAGTGTCTACCCAGACCAAGAGGTATTTTAGTTTCCTGACTCAGAGCATGTGAGTGAAGTCAATTTGCCAGTCCTGGGTGGGGGCAAATCCCTGAGCTTGATGTGTAGGGAAGAGAGGGGGCCTGAATAATCCCTGAGGAGTAGTAGAATAGCAGATGGAACACTGAGAAGTGATTTTTTGAGGATAGATTTCCACAATGGAAAGGAAATGAGAGGTTCTAAGAGGTGGGCTAGCAGCTCGTAACCTACATGGAAGAGGTTATGCAATGACAACAGAATAGAATGGGCCTGTGAGGCTGGAAGGAGATATTTTCCTTGGTCAAAGAACCATTTGCCTTGTGTGGGAAGAGATTGATAGGTGGAAGTTTCAGTCGGTGAGTAGGTGGGAGTGACCGATTAGAAGGAGAAAAACTGGCCGTGAGGGACAGAAGTTGGAATGCTAGCTGCTTCTTTAGCTATTTTATCAGCATAAGCATTGCCCTGAGCAATGGGATCTGATGCCTTTTGATGGCCTTTGCAGTGAATGACTCCAGCTTCCTTTGGAAGTAAAGTGGCCTTGAGAAGAGCTTTTATTAAAGAGGCATTAATGATGGAGGACCCTTGCGCAGTGAGGAAACCTCTTTCTGCCCATATAATGGTATGGTGGCGTAGGATATGGAAGGCATATTTAGAGTCAGTTTAAATATTGATGTGTAGTCCCTTTGCAAGAGTGACGCTCGAGTTAAGGCAATGAATTTGGCTTGCTGAGAGGTAGGGGAGTGGGGCAGAGCGGTAGCCTCAATGATAGATGTGGAAGATACTATAGCATAGCCTGCCTTTGCTGGTGAGTGGCAATTAGGCCTGGTGGAACTGCCATTGATAAACCAAGTGTGATCAGGGTGAGGAACAGGAAAGAAGGAAATATGGGAAACGGAGTGAATGTCAGGTGGATCAGAGAGATACAGCCATGGAGGTCAGGTGTGATATCCGGAATAATGTGGGAGGCCAGATTGAAGTCCGGGCCAGGAAAAACGGTAATTGTGGGAGACTCAACAAAGAGTGAGTACAGCTGAAGGAGCCAGGGAGCAGAAAGTATATGCGTCAGGTGTGAGGAAGAAAATAGATTTTGGAAGTTATGAGAAATGTAGAGAGTGAGTTGAGCATAGTTTGTGATTTTTAGGGCCTCTAAAAGCATTAGGGTGATGGCAACTGCTGCACGGAGACATGATGGCCAGAGCAGATCCTGAACTAACATGTAAGACTTGTCTGGAGTTTGAATAGGTAAAATGGGAGAATTGTAAGGAGAGTTTACAGGTTTTACAAGCCCATGCTGTAGCAGGGGAGTGATAACAGGCACCAAATGTCACACACGTCCATGTGAAGAGACCACCAAACAGACACTGCATGAGCAATAAGGCTGTTTATTTCACCTGGGTGCAGGCGGGCTGAGTCTGAAAAGAAAGTCAGTGAAGGGAGATAGGGGTGGGGCCGTTTTATAGGATTTGAGTAGGTAGTGGAAAAGTATAGTCAAAGAGGATTGTTCTCTGGCGGGCAGGGGCGGGGGTCACAAGGTGCTCAGTGGGGGAGCTTCTGAGCCAGGAGAAGGAATTTCACAAAGTAATGTCATCAGTTAAGGCAGGAACCAGCCATTTTCACTTCTTCTGTGATTCTTCACTTGCTTCAGGCCACCTGGATGTATACGTGCAGGTCACAGGGGATATGATGGCTTAGCTTGGGCTCAGAGGCCTGACAGGCATGGTTTACTGATAGCTCTGCCAGACGACATGCACTGGACCACCATTCAGCCAGTGGTTGGCTATCTTTTGACTGAGACTGGACATGGGCATTCTACCCAACGGGCCAAACTAAATGCAGTGGTGATGGCCATGCAGGCTACCTCTATCGCGTATCTTGCTATATTTTCAGTGACTTATGGGCCATTGCCAAAAGCCTGGCCATCTGATCAGGACAATGGCAATGGAAGGATTGGACTGTTAGAGGATATCCATGTGAGAACAAGGACTAAGAAAAACAGCTTGTTGTCTGAAAAAGACAAATATATGTCAATCATATGGGTGCTGAGGCAACTATAGCCACACTTGAGAGGAATTTATGCCATCCTTTTACATAGCCCATGGGATTTTACTTGGACCAAGGAATATTTTTTACTATTCAAGCAACTAGATAATGGGTACACATTAGTGAAAAAAGATGGGCTTTTTAAGTACATTGTCATCCTCAGGCCAATAGAGTTATTGAATAATGGAACTCACAAAGCAACTGAAGAAAGAACATCAAGATGTCCTGCTAGTGAGGGGGTAGCCCATCTGACTAGGGCAATAGGGACACTAAACACTATGCACCAATGCAAAGGAAACAGCACTGCAGTGCATATTGAGGGACACTGAGCTTGGTTGGGTTGGAGGTGGATGAGAAACCCACCTGACTAGGCTGTCTGTGCCTGTAAAGTCTCAGTCTGTGTTCTCAACCATTCTTTTTCCTTTTCCCCTATAGAGTACATGTCCTGGGGATGAATTGCAGTTCAGGGTGCCATAGTACCCCAGAGAGGCCACCCTGTCTCTAATCTGGAGTTTATACTTCCCTTGGGTACCTCCCCTATAAGGGGATTCCACAGGGGTCGGGGACAGGACTAAGGAATGACAGACTGCTAGAATCCCTCTAATGATGCTGGATGCCTCTGATCCTTCCATTTGGGTGGATGATGTTATGAGATATGCCAGCTTTGTACTGGAGTGGATGATTGAGGCAGAAAGGTTTGAGTCAAGCAACAAGGGCAATGGATGTCTGCAGAAGTAGCTTGGGACTAAAACAGACAGACCGGGTTGCTATACCAACTCAGCCTAATTCTTATTCAATAGGTAGAGAACATCTGAGACCCTGGAAAGGGTGAGAGGTGGGCATTAAACTGTCAGTCTGCTTTTCCACATGGATGGGGCATTATAGGCCTGTGAGCATAATGCCTTAGTGGCCTCTTCCAAAGTGCCATGGTTACACCATGGGTAACCTGACAAAGTGCTGGATGCTCCATCCACGACCTCGTTCTCTCATTGACTAGAACGATCCTTTCATCTTGCCTGTGGTTAACTACTCCAGCACTCCTAATGCCACAGAGTACAGTAATGGACCCTAAGTCCTAGCTTACTGAGTGAGGACCTAGCACATGCCACATAGGAAGAATTCAAAGGTGCTATCTTTTAACTTAAATAACTTTGTGGAAAAATGTCATGACCACAACTAATGAATCTTTGGTGGGCAGGTGCTTTGATGCACCAGGCTCCTTTAATTACAAAGATGTGTGCTCATGATGATGAAGAGAACAAGTATCGGAGAGTGCTAGCCCTCTGCATAGAGGCTTTAGGATTGTATGGGGTAAAATGTATGATGAAAACTCAGGCAACTACTGCCATCAATGAGACTTAGCTAGTGAGTGCCAATACCTTCATCCTCATAAATAATACTAGCACAGGGGGTCTGTGTGTGCCAGAGGGCTACATCTTTATCTGTGGGCAATCTGGGGTGACTGAAATGCAGGGTGGGCAAAGTCATGCCTGGAAAACTTACAGGTCCTGCCCCATTGAGTGTGCTAGGGATGCTCCTAGAATTCACCCCCAAAATGAAGTGCTCCATTGACTCAGGAGCCTAATGCTGTATACCAGACTTACCAAAGACCTGACTGGATGTGTAACTGACTTTGGGTTTACGTCTTTTATGAGATCTTTGGTACCATTCATAGGAGTTATTGCTCATAAAAAAATGAAAATAAACCTGTCCCAAACCATGGCAAATATTGCCTCCTCCATTGCCACTGTCTTAGAAGCCAAGGAAACATCTCCCAGATCCACCTAGAAAGTTATTTTAAACAACAGAATTGTTCCAGACTCTTTTTGTTTGAGATGGAGTTTCGCTCTCGTTGCCCATGCTGGAGTGCAGTGGTATGATCTCAGCTCACTGCAACCTCTGCCTCCCGGGTCTAAGTGATTCTCTTGCCTCAGACTCCAGAGTAGCTGGGATTATAGGCGTGCACCACCACTGCTGGCTAATTTTGTATTTTTTTTTTTTGTAGAGACAGGGTTTCTGCATGTTTGTCTGGCTGGTCTTGAACTCCTGACCTCAGGTAATCCACCTATCTTGGCCTCCCAAAGTGCTGGGATTACAGGCATGAGTCACCGCACTCGGCCCTCCAGACTTTCTTTTAGCTCAACTGGGAGAAGTGTATACAATTGCCAGCACCTCTTACTGTATTGGGATAAACATCTTAGGTATTGTAGAAACATAGGTAGAGGAGATCCAGAAGCTGACCCATTGGTTGTAGACAGTGGGGCCACCTGAAGAATCCTTCTTTAACCTCTATGGCAACCTCTTACCTAGATCTTTGAGACCCAGGGCTAAATTACTACTGCAGAGAGGTCTGGCTGTGCTGCTAGTGGTAGTAGTCCTCCTGGGACTAGTAAAATGTATTCTGGCTATGACTCAATTATGTTTCACTGAGACAGAGTCAGCCAAGGTGTTACATTGATCTGACAAGACAAACCTCCACCTCCAGATCTGGAGAGGTCAATGGGCATATGAAATACACCAGCTTTTCTAAGGGAAATATCTTGGTTGGAGCAGGAGACTGCAGGTCAACTTTCCAGGTGTCCTTGGACTGACCCAATTATCCCCTCTTTCTTGCTTGCAGTTGTCAAGAGCAACTGTAGTATATGCTGAGAATGCAATATCCTGAGACAGGGAAGAACTGCCTGAAACAGCCTAGGCCTTGTTACTCTCTCCCTTGACAGAGAATGTTCTTCAAAACTTTAGGCCATAGTTTCCCATTGGTCCTGAGGTGTGTAACCTAGGGCAAGCTGTCTTGTGGGGTCCCTCAACTGTGGTACAAGTGGGCCATGCACAATCACTCCATCCACTTCAGGCACTTCACATGCATTCCATCCACTTCAGGCAACTTTGTTGAGCCTTGGGCTACTGGCTCGTAATGGATCGGCTCACATAGGTACCTGTTGTCTCTTGCTGTTTGTCTGTAAATGATACATCTGCTTTATGTAATTTGTTGCATATGAGTGTGTTCTGTTTAACTGAACTCAGACAAGCTAGTAAATAGTACACAGTGTACCTGCCCCACACCCAGGATGTACATGCTAAAGCTAAACAGTGTGACTGCCTGCCAAAAGGAACAGTTTAAATAGAGCTCAGAATTCTCTGCCATGATAGACAAAATGTCCAGAATATAATTACAAATCACCAATCATACAAAGAACCAAGAAAATAACAATTTGAGTGAAAAAAGACAGTTAACTGACACCAACACCAAAACGCATCAGATGTTGGAATCATCTGAATATGATTTTAAAATATCTAGCAAAAATGTTTCAACATCAAATAGAAATTATCTTAAAATATATAACAAAATCGCAAAATATTAACCAAACTTGATTTGTAAAAAAACAACAACAAAAAAGAACCAAATGTAAATTATAAAAGCAAACAAACACTGTAACAGAAATGAAAAATGTGTTGGATGGAGTCAATAGTGCCATTGAGATGCGAGAAGGTAAAATCAGTGAATGTGAGGGCAGAATAGTAGAATTTAACCAATTTGAACAACATAAATAAAACAGACTGATACATAAAATGAACAGAGATGTAGGTATGTGTGAGGCAACAACAAAAGATCCAACATTTTTATTACGTGTACCAGAAAAAAAGTAAAATGAGGCTGAAAGAATACTTGAAGAAATAGTGCTTCAAAAAAACCTCAAATTTGCAGAAGACACAAATGTATAGATTCAAGAAGCCTAAGATACCCTACACGGAATAAACACATTTCAAGAAATATTTTGATTAAACTTTTAAAAACTAAAGACAAAATATTTTTATTTGGTAGTTTAGAAACATAAATCTACCACTTTAAAATTATAAAGGTCAGAAATCTTAAATGGTTTTCATTAGGCTAAAATCAAGGTGTCAGCAGCACCGCTTTCCTTCTGGGGACTCTAAAGGAGAATACATGTTCTTGCCTTTTCCAGCTTCTAGGGGCTGTCTTCATTTCTTGTCTCTTGTCCGCTTTCCCCATTCCTTGTCTCTTGGTTCTTTCCTCCAGTACAATTAGCAATGTAGTATCTTTAAATATTTTCTACCACACTCTTCCACATTTAAAGGATCCTTGTGATTAAATTGGCCCCCCCCCAGATAATCAAGTATGATCTCTTATTTTAAGTTCCGCTGTTTAGTAAGCTTAATGTCATGTGCAACCTTAATACTTTCTTGCATTGTAACATCATATATTCTTATATTACATAGCATATCCTTCCTGACATGGAGAATAGGACAGGGACAGTCTTGTGGGGGGTGGGGGGGGCATTATTCTGCTTATCACAGTTAGCAAACAAAGATTTTGTGCCATGAAAACATGGAGGAAATACGCTTATCCTTATTTTTCTTCAGTCTTTCTCATCAAATAGATCTTTAGATCCAAAAGAGAAGACTCAACATTGCTTTTAATTAAATCTCAAGATGAACGAAGAGGCACTATGAGCCCTGGGCCCTAGTATTGGAGTAGAACTCATTCCAAAACAATAAGAAAGTTTAGGAAAGAGATTTTTAAGTTGCTCTAGATATCTTTGAGGATTATGGAGAATAGTAAAAGTTTTAGAAGACAAGAAATGGGCAGTGTACTAATTTTTTAAAGGAAGATAGATCTCATAAACTATAGGTGAATGAGTTTGACATTACTTCTGGAAGCAATTTTAAGAAGCATGAAAACAATACTTTAAAAGCACTTAAAAGAACGCTTTGCAATCATGAAACAACATGGGCACACCGAGAAGAAATTGTATCAGAAAAATGATATTTCTTCCTATTTTTTGAATCTTTATCTTGTCCTTTTATTGTTAGTTGGCATGCAATAATTGTACATATTTATGGAAACAGAGTGATATTTTGATACAGGTGTACAATGCGTAATGATCAAATCAGGGTAATTAGCATTTCAAACACCTCAAACATTTATCATACTTTTGTGTTGACAACATTCAAAATCTTCTCTTCTAGCTTTTTGAAAATATACCATAAATTATAGTTATTTCCATGTGACCAGCTATAGAGCACTACAACAGAACTTATTCCTCCAATATAGCTATAATTTTGTGTCCATTAACCAACCTCTGCTCCCACATCCTTCCCAACATCTAATAACCACAATTCTACCATTTACTTTAATGAGCTCAAATTTGTTTAGCTCCTGCATATGGGTAAGGACAGACAGTATTAATTTTTCTGTGTCTGACTTATTCCACTTAACATAATGTTCGCTAGTCTTATCCATGATTCTGCAAATGACAGAATTTCATTCTTTTTATGGCAGAATATTATTCATATATATATATATGAATGTATATACAAATTTGGTATATGTATATACCACATTTTTTATCCATCCATTGATGGATATTTAGCTTAATTCCATATCTTGGTTATTGTGAAGACAGCTGCAATAAATATGGAGGTGCAGATACCTCTTAAGTGTAATGATTTCCTTTCCTTTGGATAAACACCTAGTAGTGGGATCACTAGATCATATGGTGTCTCTATTTTTGTTTTGAGAAACCACCATACAGTTTTTCATAATAAGTGAAATAATTTAACTTACCACCAACAGTGTATGGTAGTCTAATTTTTCATGTCTTACATTTAAATTTTTAATCCATTTTGAGTTTATTTTTGTATAAGGTGAGTGATAGGAGTTTAGTTTCATTCTTCTGCATATGGATATCCAATTTTTCCAGAAGCATGTATTGGAGATTGTGTCCTTTCCCCAATGTAGGTTGTTGACAAAACTAAAGACAAAGTCTTAAAGGCAGCCAGATAGAAACAGTCACCTATAGGTGAAACATCACCTATAGAGGAAAACCAATGTAAATGAAAATACGTTTTTTCGTCTGAAACAATGGAGGTCAGAAACAAGTTACACAATATTTTTCAGGTAGTGAAAGAAAAGAGCTGCCAACTCTGAATGCTACAGATGTTGTAACTATGCTTCTGGAGTAAAGGAAAATTATATTTTTTGAACTGTTTAAAAAGTTGTTGTTAGCAAGCTTACCATTAAATGTTTACTAAAACTGTTATTCAAACAAAATAAAGAAAAAAAAGGAATTTTGAACATCAAGAAAGAAGGAAGATATATTAATAGAATTAGCAGAAATATGAATACATCCAATAGATGTGTTTTCCTAGTGAGTATTATAAATCATAGTTGATGATAGAAACAAAAATTATAACTCCACTTGATACTAAAGGAAGTGATACTTAAAAGTATAGAAGATAAAGGAAAATAAATATAAGCTGAGCTTCCTTGCTTTAATCAAAAGTGTAAAACCATTGGTATTTATATATTGTTTTATAAATCGGATATTAAATCAGGTATTAAAATATGAAGAGTAGCATAAAAAGTATATACAAATTTCCAAAGCAAAGATTGTATATTGTAGATGTATTCAAACATTGTAAGTAAAGCAACATGAAAGCTCGAGTAGCACACAGTAAGTCCAAAAAAAAAGGAAAACTGAAAAATGAGAACAAAACAAATGAATATGTAGTAAATAATAAAATGAAATGCTTAGGTGTTAGTACATTAATAATTACATTAAATATAAGTGACATAAATACACCAATCAAAAGAGAAATTAGCTGAATAAATTAAAAAATGCAACCTTAACTATTGCTATAGTAAGAAATACACTTTAATTCAATAGTATCAGTATGTTGAAAGTAAAATAATATAAAAATACATACCATGGAAATATTTATCAATAAAAGGGCAAAAGTGGCTATATTAATATCTGATAATCTAGAAGTTAGATTCAAAAAATCTTACAAAGAACATTACTAACAACAGAGGAGGCAGTTAGAGGCTGGCTAGGCAGATAGAGAGGAAGGGTCTTGGGAGAAAGACAGCACCCATGGGAATGCACCTGCACTACCTTTGTGGTGTAGCTAGAATGTGGAAATGTGGTTAACAACTTCCTCTTATACCAAGATGTCTCTCAGAAGGGACTGTCCCAATTATGTTTCAATAAATCAACTAAATGTCCTTAACTTGACCCAGAGCTAATTGTAATATCATTAGCATTGCAGTTTTGGTGCCCCCATGAATTTTGCTTAGGCACTTATGACTAATAATCAAGATGGAGTCACTGCTGCCAAACCTAGGTATGCACAGACAGAACACTCCCAGCAGGGAATTTTACCCCTTCCATTAAGGCAGGACCCACAAAGGACTTCCTTGTTTCTGTCACATAAAGGGATCAGAACTCAGCCCCATTTCTGGCAACCCTTGTTTGGGTCCACTCTTGCTGCTGAGAGCTTTTCTGTTGCTTAATGAATGTTAATTTGCCTTACTCACTCTCTGGTATTTGTGTGCCTTATTCTCTTGGTTGTGGGACAAGATCTTGGACCTCACTAAATTAAGGAGTGAGGAGACTGCAACACTAATAATAAATGGATCAATTCACCAGTAAACATAACAATTCCAAATATATATGCACCAAATAACAAAGTCTTAAACAACATGAAGAGAAAAATTATAGAACTAAAAAATAATAAATTATAGTTGTGGGTTTTAACAGCCTTATCTCAGCAATTGATAGAATTATTGGACAAAAATTTGACAATCAGCAAGCATGTAGAAGATCTGTACAGCACAATCAACCAACAAGATTTTATTCACACACACAAACTCACACACACACACACACACAGACACACATATACAGATAAATATATGTCAATTATATATATATCTCTCTCTAAATATAGAATCAGTCCACAAAAAACAGCAGAATATACAGTTTTTCAGGAGCTCATGAAATATTAACTAAAATACTAGATGATTTCTTGCACCATAAAACAAACCCTGATACATTTAAAAGAATTTATGTCATATAGAGTATGTTCTCTGACCATAGTGGAATTAAAATAAAAGTCAGTAACAGAAAGAGAGCAGGAAAATGTTTAAATGCATTTCAATTATGCAACACAGTTCCAAATGATCTATGGATTAAATATAAAGTCTTAAATAAAAATCTAAAAATATATTTCAACAAATGAAAGAAAATACAACATATCAAAATATAGGAAATACAGCTAAGGCTGTGGTGGGAAAGAAATTTATAGTACTAAATGCTTCATTAAAAATAAGAAAAGATCTCAAATCAATAACTTACACTTGTATCTCAAGAAACTAGAAAAAGAACAGAGTAAACTGAAAGCAGGCAGAAGAAGAAAAATAATCATCACAATAACAAAAATTCATGAAATTGAAAACAGAAAAAAATGTGAAACAAAAAGCTGGTTTATTGAAAAAATCAATCAATTGATAAACATCTATCAAAACCGACAAAAATAAATAGAGATGACACAAAACACAACAGCAAATTTTTTAAAAAATGCAAATGATCCAATTAGGTAATGGACAAAAGACATCAATGGACGTTTTAACAAGAAAAATATTCAGATGTCAAATAATCCATGAAACATGTTCAATATTATTAATCATCATGGACATGTCAAATAAAACCATAGTGAGATATTTCTACACACCTATCAAAATGACTTTTAAAAATTGTGACAATAGCAAAAGCTATTCAGGATGTAAAAAATACGATCACTCATAAGTTGCTAGTGGAAAAGTAAAATAATAGAGCCACTCTGAAAAATAGCTGACAGTTTTTTAAAAAGACAGATATGTTATTCATTCTTTCCACATTTTTTTTCTGTGTGTGCTGATTAACCTTCTCTACCTCCTCTCCAATGCCCCAGTATCCTTACTAGCTTCTGTGGGCACTCAGTGTACCCATAAAATTTTAAGAAAATAATTAAAAATTTTTTAAAGTAAAATAAAAACCAGATATGCATAGACCATAGATCCCAGCAATTGCAGTTGTGGGTGTTTAATTTGGAGTGATGAAACTGTGGTCCCACAAAAACTTGTTCACGAATGTCTACAACAGCTTAATTTGTTACAGTTGAAAAGGTCAATAAGCCCAGGTGAATGTTTAATTTGTGGTGAATTTATACCAGAAACCATGAAATACTACTCAGTCATCAAAGGAACAAAATATTAATTAATGCAATCATTTGGATGTATTTTTAGGAAATTTTGTCGAGTGAATAAAAGTCAATTATATACATTATGTACAACAGTACAAGTAGGCCTTGAGACCTACGGGATCATTCTGTGTTGCAGCAAGGCCCTGCCTGCCTCACCAGATGTGGTGAGCCTATCCTATCTCACTCGGAGGGGTCCAAAATCGGATCTGAACGGGAGTCTGGAGAACACAGCAGGCATCTTGAAGCTCCACCTCCCTCCGTGGAAGTCGGCTCAAGGAGGTCCTGAGGACAGGACTCCTAGGGGTTTGGCCCTGGGACAGGACAAGACACCCGCGGCCCCCTCTCCCACGCCGCCCCAAACTGGACCCCGGATCCAGCCGCCGCCGTGGCGGCAGGAGGAACCTCGCTGCCGCCGCGCGGCGGTGGCGGTATTTAAAGGGGACGCAGCCATACTGCCAGGAGCGGAGCGCGAGTCGGCTCAGCCAATGCGCATGCGCGAGGCGCGAGCGGTTTCTCCCGTCACAGTGGTTCCCATGGTTGTCTTAGAAACCAGTCCCCGAGGCTTGGCAAAGCAGGAGCCCTCTGTGGCAGTGCTTGGGTGTCGGGGCTCTGAGGATCCGGCCTCACCTCTCCACGGGGTCGACGGGAACGTCTCCGGATGCCAGGAGTCGCAAAGGGCCGACCACGATGAGGAAACCCCAGGCGGGGACGGGGGAAGCAGCACGGGATCCCAGCCTCAGGCCTGCCCGGACGGTGTTGGTTGGGGTGAGTCTCCCCAAAAGTCGTGCCGCCATCCGTGATCTCGAGGACAGGTCGGCCTGCGTGCCCCTGGGCTGCTCTCTCACCCGAGAGTCGTTCTCGTCGTGAGCAGAACCCCGCAGCCTCAGGGGTTGCCTGGTGGTGTGTGTTTCAATGCCTCTGCTGTATGACGCTGTGTGTGTGTCTCTGTGTGTGTGTGTGTGTGTGTGTGTGTGAGTGTGTGTGTGTGTGTCTGTGTGTGTGTCTCCCAGTCTCTCTTCTCTCTCTGTCTCTCAGTCTCTGTGTGTTTCTTTCCCTCTCTCTGTGGGTTTGTGTGTGTATGCCCGTGTGCGTGTGTGTCTTTGGCCGAATGTGCCCTGTGCGCCACAAAGCGGTTTGTCGCATGGCGGCCTGTCTTTGGTGAGCCTCTTTCTGCGTCTCTACCTGGGTCATGAGGCCGGCTGTCAATCGTTTTCGCCGCGGCGGATCCGCTTTGGGTGCCTGAAAGCCTGGCCCACGTGAGGAGATGCGTCGCTCCCGGAGCAACTGAAATCTCATCCCCATCCTGAGTGGCCTCTTTTCTAGGATCAAGATGAGTACACTGCAGCCGAGAACAAGAGCCCCAGAGGAACTCTTTGTCCCACAGGAGAGCAGCGGATCCACGCCAGAGAAGATGCTTGTATCTTTTCACGGCTCTTCTCTGAGAAATGAAGCCACACCACGATACAGTCAGCAAGAGGAAGCCGGGAATGGGAGATGGCAACAGTCCCTGTCACTGGAACGCTGGCCTCCCTGGACAAGCCACCCTTTAGGAACCCCACCCCTTATGTCTGTGGCGGTGGCACGGTGCTGTATCCTGCCTGGGCTCTGGCCTCTACTCTCTCCTCCCTCTGGCTCTGCCTCCCCTGTTTCTCAGGGGCCTGGATGCCTCTCGCTCTGGCCAAATGCCTTCAAAAAAGATGACTTCCCAGTCCGTCAGGGAGACACTTCCTGGAGATCCGTGTCATGATCGTTTCTCTCTCCAAACGTGTTTCTGCTTAATTGGGCAGGTATCATGAGCCGAGAGCTCTTGGCTTCCATACGTGTCTCAGGCAGGGAAGCTTCCTTCTTCCCCACGTTTCCCCTCATGGGTGGGTGGATTGCCTAGAATGAGCGCTAGGCGACCGTGACTGGCCTTGACTTCCAGGACAGGTGGTGTCCCATTTCCTTTGCACTTCCTGTCTCATTCTTGAGGGACATCCTCTCCTCTGCTCCTGGGTGGCCTGACTCCCTTGATCTTCTGGACGAAACAAATGTCAGGAAACCAAAGGGACTGGGCTGGGGCTGGGGCTGGGGATGGGGCTGGGGCTGGGTGCAGCCGAAGTTGCGTCAGGGCTACCAGGGCGATGGAGGCTTGGGGGTGGGGCGATTTTTGCCAAAACCTCTTTGCTCCTCTGGTAGGCATGTGAAAACGTGGCTTGGGTCAGGCACAGCCCCCCATCTCGACCCGCACCCCCCGAGCCCCAGGTGTTCTTCGACTTTCCTTGGCATTGATGGAAAGGTCACTCGTTTCCCCCTTCCACCAGCACATGCCTGGACACCACCCTTTGTTTCGCCGTCGCCCCGTATGCCTCCGGCGACACACATCCACACCATCTGCTGTGGGGTAGGCCAGTGCCACGCGTGGTCACACGGTCTCCACCTCGGATTCGCCCCTGTTCCTGGTGGCACGTGTCCTGTAAAGCGCGGTCGGCTTTCCGGAGCCCCTGGGCTTTTAGAAGCGGGGCAAGCCACTGATATTTCAAAGGAGGTGGGAGGCAGAGGGCTGATGGATCAGTGAATTTGCAGCTGACGCTAGGCCTTGAGACCTATGGGATCATTGTGTGCTGCAGCGAGGCCCTGCCGGCCTCTCCAGATGTGGTGAGCCCATCCTATCTCAGTGGGAGGGGGCCAGAATCGGATCTCAACGGGAGTCCGGAGAACACAGCAGGCGTCCTGAAGCTCCCCCTCCCTCGGTGGAAGTCGGCTCAAGCAGATCCTGAGGACAGGACCCCTGGGGGTTTGGGCCTGGGACAGGACGAGACACCCGCGGCCCCCTCTCCCACGCCGCCCCAAACAGGACCCAGGATCCAGCCGCCGCCGCGGCGGCAGCGATATTTAAAGGGGACGCAGCCTATCTGTCAGGAGCGGAGCGCGAGTCGGCTCAGCCAATGCGCATGCGCGAGGCGCGAGCGGTTTCTCCCGTCACAGTGGTTCCCACGGTTGTCTTAGAAACCAGACCCCGAGGCTTGGCAGAGCAGGAGCCCTCGGTGGCAGTGCTTGGGTGTCGAGGCTCTGAGGCTCCGGCCTCACCTCTCCACGGGGTCGAAGGGAACGTCTCCGGATGCCAGGAGTCGCAAAGGGCCGACCATGATGATGAAACCCCAGGCAGAGACGGGGGAAGCAGCACGGGATCCCAGCCTCAGGCCTGCACGGACGGTGTTGGTTGGGGTGAGTCTCCCTAAAAGTCGTGCCGCCGTCCGTGATCTCGAGGACGGGTCGGCCTGCGTGCCCCTGGGCTGCTCTCTCACCCGAGGGTCGTTCTCCTCCAGAGCAGAACCCCGCAGCCTCAGGGGTTGCCTGGGGGTGTGTGTTTCAATGCCTCTGCTGTATGACTCTGCGTGTGTGTGTGTGTGTGTGTGTGTGTGTGTGTGTGTCTCCCATTCTCTCTTCTCTCTCTGTCTCTCAGTCTCTGTGTGTTTCTTTCCCACTCTCTGTGCGTTTGTGCCAGCCGAAGTTGCGTCAGGGCTACCAGGTCGGTGGAGGATTGGGGGTGTTGCGAATTTTGCAGAAACCTCTTTGCTCCTCCGGTAGACATTTGAAAACGTGGCTTGGGTCAGGCACAGGCGGCCCCCCACCCCCGGGTCCCAGGTGTTCTTTGATTTTCCTTGGCATTGATGGAAAGGTCACCCGTTTCCCCCTTCCACTGGCACATGCCTGGACCCCACCCTTTGTTTCGCCGTCGCCCCGTATGCCTCCGGTGAGACGCATTCACACCAACTGCTGTGGGATTGGCCAGTGCCACGCGTGGTCACATGGTCTCCCCCTCGGATTCGCCTGTTTTCCTCTTTGCAGGTGTGGTGTAAAGCGTGGTCGGCTTTCTGGAACCCCAGGGCCTTTAGAAGTGGGGCAGGCCACTGCTCTTTCAAAGGAGGAGGGAGGCAGAGGGCTGATGGATCAGTGAATTTTCAGCTGACTCTAGGCCTTGAGAATTATGAGATCATTCTGTGCTGCAGCGAGGCCCTGCCGGCCTCACCAGTTTTTGTGAGCCCATCCTATCTCACTCGGAGGGGGCCAAAATCGGATCTCAACGGGAGTCCGGAGAACACAGCAGGAGTCCTGAAGCTCCCCCTCCATCCCTCCATCGGTGGAAGTGGGCTCAAGCAGGTCCTGAGGACAGGACCCCTGGGGGTTTGGGCCTGGGAAAGGACGAGACTCCTGCGGCCCCCTCTCCCACGCCACCCCAAACAGGACCCAGGATCCAGCTGCCGCCATGGCGGCAGCAGGAGCATCGCGGCCGCCAGGCGACAGTGGCGATATTTAAAGGGGACGTAGCCTGACTGCCAGGAGCTGAGCGCGAGTCGTCCCAGCCAATGCGCATGCGCGAGGCTCTAGTGGCTTCTCCCTTCACAGTGGTTCCTTCGGTTGTCTTAGAAACCAGTCCCCGAGGCTTGGCAAAGCAGGAGCCCTCCGTGGCAGTGCTTGGGTGTCGGGGCTGTGAGGCTCCGGCCTGACCTCTCCACGGGGTCGACGTGAACGTCTCCGGATTCCAGGAGTCACAAAGGGCCGACCAGGATGAGGAAGCCCCAGGGGGGTACGGCGGAAGCAGCACAGGATCCCAGCCTCAGGCCTGCCCGGATGGTGTTGGTTGGGTGGGTCTCCCCAAAAGTCGTGCCGCCATCCGAGATCTCGAGGACAGGTCGGCCTGCGTGACCCTGGGCTGCTCTCTCACCCGAGGGTCGTTCTTGTCGTGAGGAGTACTCCGCAGCCTCAGGGATTGCCTGGTGGTGTGTGTTTCAATTCCTCTGCTGTATGACTCTGTGTGTGTGTGTATGTGTGTGTCTCCCATTCTCTCTTCTCTCTCCCTCTCTCAGTCTCTGTGTGCTTCTTTCCCTCTCTCTGTGGGTTTGTGTGTGCATGCCCGTGTGCGTGTGTGTTTTTGGCTGGAGGTGCCCTGTGTGCCACAAAGCGGTTTTTCGCATGGCGGCCTGTCTTTGTTGAGCCTCTTTCTGCTCTCTGCCTGGGTCATGAGGCCGGTTGTCAATCGTTTTTGCTGCTGTGGATCCGCTTTGGCTCTGTGAAGGCCTGGCCCACGTGAGGAGATGCGTCGGAGCAATTGAAGTCTCATCCCCATCCTGAGCGGCCTCTTTTCTAGCATCAAAACGAACACACTGCAGACGAGGAGAAGAATCCCACAGGAGCTCTTTGTCCTACAGGAGAGCAGCGGACCCACGTCAGAGAAGATGCTTGAGTCTTTTCACGGCTCTTCTCTGAGAAATGAAGCCACACCACGATACAGTCAGCAAGAGGAAACCGGGAATGAGAGATGGCAACAATCCCTGTCCCTAGAACGCTGGCCTCCCTGGACAAGCCACCCTTTTGGAACCCCACCCCTTATGCCCTTGGCGGTGGCACGGTGCTGTATCCTGCCTGGGCTCCGGCCTCTGCTCTGTCCTCCGTCTTGCTCTGCCTCCCCTGTTTCTCAGGGGCCTGGATGCCTCTAGCTCTGGCCAAATGCCTTCAACAAAGATGGCTTCCCAGTCCGTCAGGGAGACATTTCTTCGAGATCCGTGTCGTGATTGTTTCTCTCTCCAAACCTGTTTCTGCTTGATTGGGCTGGTCTCATGACCCGGGAACTCTTGGCTTCCTTAGGTGTCTCAGGCAGGGAAGCTTCCTTCTTCTCCACGTTTCCCCTCATGGGTGGTTGGATTGCCTAGAATGAGCGCTAGGCGAACGTGACTGGCCTTGACTTCCAGGACAGGTGGTGTCGCATTTCCTCTGCACTTCCTGTCTCATTCTTGAGGGACATCCTCTCCTCTGCTCCTGGGTGAACTGAAGCCCTTGATCATCTGGCAGAAAAGAATGTCAGGGAACCCAAGGGACTGGTCTAGGGTTGGGGGCTGGTCCTGGGGCTCGGTGCAGCCAAAGTTGTGTCAGGGCTGCCAGGGCCTTGGACGGTTTGGGGTGGGGCGAATTTTGCAGAAACCTCTATGCTCCTCTGGTAGGCATTTGAAAACGTAGCTTGGGTCCGGCACAGGCCCCCCCTCCCCACACCCCGCGTGTCCCACGTGTTTTTCGATTTTCCTTGGTATTGATGGAAAGGTCACCCGTTTCCCCCTTCCACCGGCATGTTCCTGGACACCACCCTTTGTTTCGCCGTCTCCCCGTATGCCTCCAGTGACACGCATTAACACCAACTGCTGTGGGATAGGCCAGTGCCACGCGTAGTCATATGGTCTCCGCCTCGGATTTGCCCCTGTTCCTCTTTGCAGGTGTCCTGTAAAGCACTGTCGGCTTTCCGGAGCCCCAGGGCTTTTAGAAGCAGGGCAGGCCACTGCTCTTTCTAAGGAGGAGGGCATTGAAAAACACACCCCCAAGCAATCCCTGAGGCTGTGATGTTCTGCTCTCTACGAGAAGGACCCTCGGGTGAGAGAGCAGCCCAGGGGCATGCAGGCTGACCTGTCCTAGAGATCACTGACGGAGGCATGACTTTTGGGGAGACTCACCCCAACCAACACCGTCCGGTCAGGCCTGAGGCTGGGATCCCGTGCTGCTTCCCCCGTCTCCGCTGGGCTTTCCTCATGGTAGTTGGCCTTTTGCGACTCCTGGCATCTGGGGACATTCCCGTTGACCCCAAGAAGAGGTTAGGCCGGAGCCTCAGAGCCCCGAAACCCAAGTACTGCCACGGAGGGCTCCTTCTTCGCCAAGCCTCGGTGACTGGTTTCTAAGACAACCGTGGGAACCACTGTGACTGGAGAAGCCGCTCCCGCCTCGCGCATGTGCATTGGCTGAGCCGACTCGCGCTCCGCTCCTGGCAGTCAGGCTGGGTCCCCTTTAAATACTGCCACATCTGAGCGTGGCAGCAGCGAGGCTCCTGCTAGCCCCGCGGCGGCGGCTAGATCCGGGGTCCAGTTTGGGGCGGCGTGGGAGAGGGGGCCGTGGGTGTCTTCTCCTGTCCCAGGGCCAAACCCCGAGGAGTCCTCACCTCAGGACCTGCTTGAGCCGACTTCCACTGAGGGAGGGGGAGCTTCAGGACGCCTGCTGTGTTCTCCGTCCTCCTGTTCAGATCCAATTTTGGCCCCCTTCGAGTGAAATAGGATGGGCTCACCACATCTGGTGAGGCAGGCAGGGCCTCGCTGCAGTGCAGAATGATCCCATAGGTCTCAAGGCCTAGTGTCAGCTGCAAATTCACTTATCCATCAGCCCTCTGCCTCCCTCCTCCTTTGAAAGAGCAGTGGCCTGCCCCGCTTCTAAAAGCCCTGGGGTTCCGGAAAGCCCACCGCGCTTTACAGGACACCTGCATAGAGGAACAGGGGCGAATCCGAGGTGGAGACCATGTGACCACGCGTGGCACTGGCCTATCCCACAGCAGTTGGTGTTAATGTGTGTCACCGGAGGCATACGGGGCGACGGCGAAACAAAGGGTGGTGTCCAGGCATGTGCCGGTTGAATGGGGAAACAGTTGACCTTTCCATCAATGCCAGGGAAAATCGAAGAACACCTAGGACCCGGGGGGTGGGGGTCCTGTGCCTGACCCAAGCCACGTTTTCACATGCCTACCAGAGGAGCAAAGAGGTTTCTGCAAAATTCGCCCCACCCCCAACCCTCCACCGCCCTGGTAGCCCTGACGCAACTTAGGCTGCGCCCAGCCACAGCCCCAGCCCCAGCCCCAGCCCCAGCCCAGTCCCTTTGGTTCCCTTACATTCGTTTCAGCCAGAAGATCAAGGGAGTCAGTCCACCCAGGAGCAGAGGAGAGGATGTCCCTCATGAATGAGACAGGAAGTGCAGAGGAAATGCGACACTACCTTTCCTGGAAGACAAGGCCAGTCATGGTCGCCTAGCGCTCATTCTAGGCAATCCACCCACCATGAGGGGAAACGTGGAGAAGAAGGAAGCTTCCCTGCCTGAGACACGAATGGAAGCCAGGAGCTCCCAGGTCATGCGACCTGCCCAATCAAGCAGAAACAGGTTTGGAGAGAGAAACAATCACGACACGGATCTCGAAGAAATGTCTCCCTGACGGACTGGGAAGTCATCTTTGTTGAAGACATTGGGCGTCAGCGAGAGGCATTGAGGCACTTGAGAAACAGGTGAGGCAGAGCAGGAGGGAGGACAGGGCAGACGCCGGCGGCCAGGCGGGATATATCACCGTTCCACTGCCAGGGTCATAAGGGATGGGGTTCCAAAAGGGTGGCTTGTCCAGAGAGGCCAGCATTCCAGTGACAGGGACTGTTGCCATCTCCCATTCCCGGCTTCCTCTTCCAGACCGTATTGTGGTGTGGCTTCATTTCTCAGAGAAGAGCCGTGAAAAGATACAAGCATCTTCTCTGACGTGGGTCCGCTGGTCTCCGGCGGGACAAAGAGCTCCTGTGGGGCTCGTGTCCTCGTCTGCAGTGTGTTCATCTTGATCCTAGAAAAGAGACCGCTCAGGATGGGGATATTTCAATTGCTCCGGGACCGAAGAATCTCCTCACGTGGGCCAGGCCTTCACACACCCAAAGCGGAACCGCGTCGGCGAAAAGGATTGACAACCGGTCTCATGACCCAGGCAGAGAGGCAGAAACAGGCTCACCAAAGACAGGCCGCCATGCGAGAAACAGCTTTGTGGTGCACAGGGCACATTCGGCCAAGGACACACACGCACACGGGCACACACACACAAACCGACAGAGAGAGGGAAAGAAACACACAGAGACTGAGAGACAGAGAGAGAAGAGAGAATGGGAGACACACACACACATACACACACAGACACACACACAGAGTCTTATAGCAAAGGCATTGAAAGACACACACCCAGGCAACCCCTGAGGCTGTGGGGTTCTGCTTTCGACGAGAACGACCCTTCGGTGAGAGAGCACCCCAGGGGCACGCAGGCCGTCCTGTCCTCGAGATCACCGCGTCACGACTTTTGGGGAGACTCACCCCCACCAACACCGTCCAGAGAGGCCTGAGGGAGGGATTCCATGCTGCCTTCTCCGGACTCTGCGTCGGGTTTCCTCACCCTGTTCGGCCCTTTGTGACTCTTGGCATCCGGAGACTTTCCCCTCGACCCAGTGGAGCCGTCAGGCCGGAGCCTCAGAGCCTTGACACCCAAGCACTGCCACGGAAGTCTCCCCCTTTGCCAAGCCTCGGGGACTGGTTTCTAAGACAACCGTGGGAACCACTGTGACGGGAGAAACCGCTTGTGCTTCGCGCATGCGCATTGGCTGGGCCGACTCTTTCTCCCCTCCTGGCAGTCAGGCTGCGTCCCCTTTAAAGAACGCCACCGCTGAGAACTGACCCTCACATCTCCCTTCCTGAATTTCTTTAGGGAAAGCAACAACCATCCCTGTAAGCCATGGGTTTTCATGCGGAGGAAGGAGAGGGCTAGTTGTCTGAGAGGGTAACTGCTTAAGGCTGCAGACTAGGAAATGGGATTCCAGGTTTAAGATAGCTCCTTTCTGGACCTCAGTCCTTCACCTAGTCACCTAGTCACAGGGTGGATTGCCTCTAAGGATACTTAGGGGAAAAGGAACCAAATTTGGGATGGTTCTCCTTGCTTTAAGCCTTGATAGGAGACGGGGAGGCCAACCCTTCTCTGCAGACCGTGATCCTCACTAGACAGAGGAGCTCCAAACCTGCCCATCTCATCCCATGCACCGACGGTGCCTGGCCTGGCTCCAAACTCCCGAAAGGAACTATTTTACAGGTGCCAAAAAGGGGACAGTGTTGATAATAATAATAAAATGAAACAATCTGATTGGGGCATTGCTGGATCAGAAAATGTGTGACCTTTTTAAAGTTAAATTGTTAAAAAATTTTAACTATTAAACATTTTAAATATTAAGCCTGATCTGTTTGGTAGCCCTGGAGCAGGGCTGAGGCGTAGAGAGAAACCTTTCCTTCAGCCAGGTTGTCTGTGTCACACTGATTTATTTTTATTTTATTTGTGGATTTCTTAATGGACCCAACGGTGGTTCCTCTTTGCATCCCTCGGGTTGACAGGCAATTCCATCCTAGCCCAGTTCTCAGCTCTGGTTTAGTTTTCATAACTTTTGGGGGTCCAGGGAGCCATGAGACTGGAGATAGAAAGCAGAAGTGCACTGGGGCGGTGGGTCTGCCTTGGCTTACCCCCAAATTTCTGGATTCCAGGTGCCTTGCTCCAGTCCCTGCCCCATCCTAGACTCAGGATGCTCTCCCACGCTACTAACCACTGGTCCGGTCAAAGCCCAAGCTGCTGCCAGCCACCATGTTATCTCCTAGCCTGGCTAGGGTGCCTGCTAGCCAGCAGTGGCTATGGTGGTGTGCAGAGTGAGGGTGAGTTTTTGTATTGACTGCCATTCCGTTTACCTCAAGAAGTATGTTTGGGCAACCATTCTGTGCCAGGCAGCAGACAGAGTCCCTGCACTGCAGGAATTCCTAGTCCTGTGGGCAGGGGTGTGTGGAGGATGGCACATGGTGGTTAGCCTGGTCCAAGGGTCTCCACTCCCTTCCTAGCATCCTAGAGATCCTGGAGGCTAGGTTGGCCACAGAGACTGAGTTCAGGACAATTCCTTCACGCAGTTAATGAAGTTATCTGTAACTTCCTGGTTAAAACACACACACACACACACACACACACACACACACAAACACAAAAACTGGCAGTCGTGGGAGGTATTTCCCCACTGGGCTGGTTGGTAGCAGGGGAAGAACTGTGGACCCCTCGCCGAGTGGCGCCTGGAAGGAGGCTGACGTAAGAGTGGTGTAGCTGTGAGTAGGAGAAGTGAGATCTAGTGGGGTAAGTCCATGTTCCCTGTTCCTAAAGTCAAATTCTCCCTGAAAAGACCCAGGGCAGCACTGTTAGGGAGCTGAAGGAGTCCCTCTGTACCCAGAGGGAATTAGGCCACTCAGGCCTCAGAGAAGGAGGGCGGGTGGTGAGGACAACCTCCCCAAGCCCCCATCAGAGCAGGCCCAATACTTGGAAATTCACTCCTCAGTCCACCAGATTCTGGTCCCATCCTACATCCCCACCAGGGCACAGGAGGCCCACATAAAAACAAGCTTTATTTGGCCAAATTAACTCACTTTCCTGGATTACCTTACTTGTTGGAAAGCGAAAGCACACCCCACGCTCCTCACCCTGTCCCTGCCTAAACCTCTTTATCTCTGAAGCCCACTCTTTGAGACCTAAAAATTAGGGTTCAAGAGAAACGCTCTAGGACTACAGGAGTGACACGACAGTCCCTATCCTACAGTGCACTAAAAGCCAAACTGAAGTCTGCTTCCTCGGTGGAGAGTGTCTCAGGGTGAGGTGGCAGGACTGTTAGCCGCTTCTCATTTTACAAGCTCCTTGTCCACAGTCATCTGCACCAGCCCCTCACAAAACTGGTTCTCGCCTTCTGGTGGGTGCTGGTGTTTACCCCTTTCCTCCCACTATCTGTTCAAACCGAGCCCACCCACCCTCCATTCACCTCCCCTCCTTAAGGCTCCCTGAGCTCTATTTACCCTTTTGTAACTCCATCCCTCCATAAGTACACAACTCTTCTAGCTGGTTTCCTAGAGGGTAGATACAGTGTTTCCAGTTGGCCCTCTGCAGATATCTGTGAATAAGTCTCTCCCAGCCCCTACATATAAATGTGTCTGTTCTAGAGAGACGGGCCTAAGTCCCAACGTAAACACATCACTAGATAATTACACCTTATATACATACAGATCTCTCTATAGAGTTATATTTGAAAGTGTCTATAACTCTAGAGAGAGATTGCAGCATGCACATATAGGACTATAATTACTTATGTCTATTTTTATAACTATGCAGTTATAAATAGATATGCCTATATATAGTGATAATAATATAGAAATATCTCCATAGCCATATATGGCTCTAAGTGAATGCTCTAACTACTCTATTTCGCAATCAATAAGTATATATCTCCTGATACATAATTCTAACAATATACGTTTTAATCTATATAGCTCTTCAGAGATATAAATCTGTCAGGATATCAAATGTACATAAAGCCGGATGGCTGTAAGGGAGTCGCATATTTTCCCATATATAAATCTGCTCCTATAACTACTGTATATGCACAAATACAATGGAAATAATTATATTTCCCTCAAACGTAAATCTGTAAATACAACCACAGCACATTTAGGTACCATTAGACATAGAGCAATATTTCCTAGACATCAGTCTGTCAGTAGAGCCACCAGTGCCTCCAAACAGAGAGTTATAGAGGGAGTTATAAATAAACTCTCCAGATGTGAACGGATCAGTAGAACTAGATGTAAACATGACTCCAAGCCGTTCCTCCTCCTTCTTCTTCTTTGTAAGATATTCCTGAAGCAAGCCCAGTCATATAACAGGGTGCAGAGGTGTCTGGGTACTGGTATTTTTTTCCCCAAGGAGGGTCGGAGGTCGCTGGACTTTGGGAAACTGTGCAGGAGTGGGTAGGGGACAATGCCCGCTCCCAACACAGCCCAGAAGCCCCTTCCGTCTGTCTCCTGGTGGCTGAGAGCTCGGGCAAGTGGAGAGGCCTAAGGGAGAAAAATGAAAAAGCAGAGTCTGGCTTGAGTCGTTCGGCCCTTCGGCCTAAAACCCTCTCAACAGGGAAGCCCCGAACAGGCGTCGGAGCGGAGAGAGCCCACGAGGCCCAGAGGCTGGGGGAAAGGGGCTGCAGGCCGGGCTGCGGAGGCCGAGCAGAGTCGCCAGCCGGTGCCTGACCGCCCGGCGCCCCATCTCCCGGGGCCGCTGCCTCGCCGGCAGCCTGGAACACAAAACCTGGGCCCTAGCCCTGCGCCCTGTGCTCAGCACTTCCACTGGTCTTATTTTATTGCTGTTTTGTCCAATTAGGTATCGCAGCGTCCTCCACCCGGTGTTGTTTTCAAATGCGAGGGCACCCAGGGCTTTCTGAATGCGTGTGTGTGTGTGTGTGTGTGTGTGCTGGCTTTAAATAAGTGACTCAGTGGATAGTGTATTTCTCTTTTCAGACCAAATGGGTCACCGGCTACTGAAAAAGAATCCAGACCTCTGAAAGGGTTCGTGACAAATTTTTTAGAAGTTCTCACGCTCATCTGTTACGATGATTTTCTTTTCTTTTTTCTCTTTTAAAAAAGTTGGCTAATTTGTGTTTCTATATTCCTCTTTAATTTTATTTTTATTGGGGGTACAAATGTTTTTAAAGGAGGGATTTCGTTAGACCCGAAACTGTGGGGTGGCTTCCTCTCTAGCAAACTTACTATCTCTACGCCTGTGATTCCCATCTCCCCCAAGAAAACAAACGAATTAAATGACCAGAAAACTGTACCTGGAGAAAATGAGGTATATGTTGCAGGATCCGGGACCGCGGCCCTTGCTTGCTTCATGAAAAATCGGCTGGTCTCCAAACTCGCGAAGGAAAATTCAAGGCGCCTCAACTCCTCCTTTTAAATTTTTTAATAAAGAGCCTAGAAAGGGAACTTTCCCTGGGCCTGCCGGAGCCCCAGCCTGGCTCTCCCAACTTCCCAGCGGCCATAAGTGTTTTTCTGCTTCCATTCGGGCCCCCCGTCTTCCCGGGCATCTCTGAGCTCCTGCCGGATCAAGGCTGTGGTCATCACCTCATTCATCTCTGCTGCTTGGCCTGAGCCTGCACATTTGGCCTCCTTCTTAAAACAGGGGCTCCTAGAGAGTCCCAAAATCCATTAACCATTCCCATATGTGGGATCCCTTCCCTGATCACACAAAGCAGAAGCCTGAGAAAAAAAGCAATAAAGAGTGGCCTCCTGGCTCTCCTTCTCCTCTTCCATCCCTTGTCTGGGAAAGGGGTTCCCAACCCCAGCCCCACCAAGAGCATATTAAGAAGCTTTCTTCCTCCCTTCCTTTCCTATCTCCCCCTCAGATGCTGTGATCCTGACTCCTTCTGTCTCCACCTCAAAATATTTCCTCTTGCATTTTATTGTTATTCTGTTATGCAGTGACTGTTAACTACTGTTTTATTATTATTATTCATTATTTATTGTTATTAAGATTGTCGTTAGAGATTTGTTCACCACCGTTCAAGGGACAGCAGCCTGGCCCAGGGGGAAGCCTGCCTCTCCCTGTCTGTCTCTCTCTCTCACACACACACACACACACACATACACACACACACACCCTAACACAGTGCACACTCACGCATATATGCTCACAAATGCCTGCTGTGTTCAGGCCCCTGCACAGCAATCCGAAGAGGCAGGCATCCTACCCCAGCACGCAAACAACACACTGCCCACGCACACCAGCATTCAGGCAGAACACCACCCCCAGACCAACGCCAAAACCCACACGCACCGAGCTTGCAAGGAAAGGAAAATACATAAAGAATCCCTTCTCTCCAAAACCTGGAGGGGCGAGTCAGGCCTCTGTCTCTTCCCCCCAGTCGCTTTCGCTTTCTCTTTTTTTTTTCTCCTTGTTTACAGCTTCAGAGAGCTCAAGGCCCATAAATCTTGAGGGGTCTACAGAGCGCAGAGCACATTTGTATGCATCGTTGGGACTCACTAATACATTACTAAGCCCATTAAGGAGAGTGTATGCGCATGGTTTCCGGTGTGTATTAACTTATAGTTAAATTCTGGAGGAAAGGGCATTGTGAATTAACATATACCAAATCCATCATGGGCTTTTGTCATATCAGATTAGTCAGTCATGGGTTTGGGGGAGTAACTTGCCTGGGTCGGGGTGTACCCACCCTTCAAACTTTGTGGAGCAGGCCCGGGGGTCTTGGGAAACACGAAGGCATTCCTATCCAGCCCCAGTCATTCGGATCCCCCAGGCCTAGCGGCTGCACACTTGTGAGATGGCGGAGGGACTGCAGACCCAGGTGCGGGAGGCCAGTGCTAGCGAAGAGAGGTGGGCAAGGGAGGCCCCTCCAGCGTCCTGCTGGGGTTGAGTTGGGGTGACTCGTCCCGTGGCCGCTGGGTCGTCTGGTTTCCCCTTTCCGAAAGAAATGAGAGGAGAGGCAAGTGGAGTAGCTGAACTTTGATTAAACCGTAGAGAAGACAGTGGGAGGAGGGAAAAAAAAAAGATCGGAGAAGGAGGAGGAGGTGGCCGAGAGATCGAGGAAAGGAAGTCCTAGAGGCTCCGGGGAATTTGGAAATCTCTCCAAGGGGCTGAAAGCTGGAAGTTGTATGAAGGTGTTCCTTTCTCACACCCCAGCTACTCCGCCCCAGTCGAAGAGGCTAATTCCGGGCCTCTTATAAAAATAAGAAAGAAAAGGTAAAGAAAAAGAAAATCTAATTATGTGGCATGTTTCAGCCAGGTGTTCCTGGTTCCAATGACTCAGACCCTATTGGAGCCCCGAGGATCTGGATAATTGGGCCTGCCTAGACAGAGATGAAGGATGCCATTTCTAAAAGGAGGAAGGGGAGAGGAAAGTCCATCTCTTGGGGTCTTGTAGAAAATGCCAAAGACCAACCAAGCTAAATTATTGTGTCCCTGTAGATCTATTTGCCTATTTACGTACAGCAGGCTGTGGGGGTGGGGGGTGAGGGAAGGCCGGGAATAAACGACCAGGATGGAGCGGGCTGGCAGGAGAGAAAATGCGCCCCCCACTCTTTGCGGGAACAGCCAACGGGCCTCCTCAGCTCGCAGCTCAAGCGGCCGCGCGGCGGGCCAGTCCGGGGCCGGGGGCCGGGGCCGGCCTGGGGGAGGGGAGGCGGGGGCGGGAGGGGAGGCGGAGGCGGGCCCTCCCCGGGCGCTGTGAACTTTAGCTGGGCCGCCGCCTGTCAGCGCCAGAAAGCGTTAAAGGTGCAGCAGCCCGCGCCAGCCTCCGCAGCCGCCTTTGTACGAGTGATTTATGACTTCAGTCTTGGTTCACCAAGAGTTCACACGGCTTTCGCTGCTGTTGAAGGTTAAAAGATGGTCTTCGCTTGACAAGTTGGACTATTGAAAATTCCTTCTTCTTCTTCTTTTTTTATTTTAGAAGCGAAGAGCAGAGGCTCAGGAGAGAAAAACATTGGGGAGGGGGCGGGGGACAGGGGTTGCAGGTGGGCCAAAATGGTAAGTCAGGAAGGTTTGTCTTCCTATATTTAGGATTTTTTGTTGTTAGGATTTGCGTGCGTGTTGGGGAGAGGGTAGAGAATAAGAGGGAGCTAGGCAAGAGATGTAAAGATCTCTCATATTTAGAGGCCAAAGGAGTGAAAAAAAAACTTGCTTCCACAGTTAATTATCTGGGTAACTTGGGTCACACCCCCTAACTGATCCTCCTCTAGAGACCGGAAATGGGCCAGGTAAGGGAGAGAGTTTGGGTAAAGGGTAAGGTTTGTGTGCTTCTCACTGGGTGTACTTGATCATCCACCTTACCTGGGTAACTACTTTTTTTTTTTTTTTTTTTTTTTTTTTGGAAATGGGGTCCAGCTCTGTTTCCCAGGCTGGAGTGTTGTGGCACCATCATAGTTCACTGAAGCCTCAAACTCCTGGGCTCAAGTAGTCCTCCCACCTTAGCCTCTTAAGTATGTGAGACTGCAGGCATGTGCCACACCGCCAGGCTGGGTAGCTGCCTTTCAATGTGCTTCTGCACCCACAGATTTGGAAAAGGGCATTTTTAGGCAGCAGTCTTTCAACTCTCTTCATCCTGTAGGTTTAGCCTGCCATTTACATTTGATGCACATGAAGAGGCTAATGGGAAGGAAATCTATAGAACTGGAATTGGAAGTCCTTTCAAATCCCAAATTCCCTTGGTCTAAGAGCCAGTCTCTCTTCTTTCTAGCATTTTGACAATGGTCGTGCCACAGCAGAGGTGGTGGTCAAAGATCTCCCAAAGACCAGGATCTAAGGCCCCTTTGTGATCTAAGGCTCTGAGTACTTGGAGAGACAAAACTCACTCCTTCTTTGTAGATTCAGAGAGACAGAGAGAGAGAGAGAGAGAGAGGGAATGAGGAGATACCTTGAAGCTGAGGGTCTGCTTGGCTTTTCGAGGTTTTTTTTTTAAGATATGTTTTTAAAAAATTTTCTGGAGTGGGAATTGGGATTGTGTGCACTGGGAAGGGGAACAGCAGAGAGCTGGGTCTGGAGTTGGGTGTGCCTCCCTAGCCCTATTAAGGCCCCATCTCCATTACCAATGCTAGGTAAATGTCTTCTTAAGAGATAGAGCCAGCCCCTCAAATCCAGATCTGGGAACCAAAGGCATCCACGCTAGAAGGGGCACTCCCTGCTTCTCTTTCTACATAGCATTAGAGAGGTATTTTCCCACCATGTGAGGACTTAGATAAGAGAAGGAGAAGAGCCAGAAAGATGTCCACATCTCGCCGGGACACCTAGCACCAGGCCCTCCTACAGGGGACCTCATATGTAAATAGCAGAATGGGGAGCAGGACCCATTTACCGGGCAGTGATACTCTTCTATTAGCTCTAGAGGGTCTCAACTTTCGCTGCACATTGGAACCCCCAGCGAGTTTTTTTGTTTGCTCATTTTTGTTTTTGAGATGGTGTCTTGCTCTTGTCACCCAGGATAGAGTGCGGTGGCACATCTCGGCTCACTACAACCTCTGCCTCCTGGGTTCAAGCAATTATCCCTGCCTCAGCCTCCCGAGTAGCTGGGATTACAGGTGCTTGCCACCATGCCCAGCTAATTTTTGTATTTTTAATAGAGACGGGGTTTCACCATGTTTGCCAGGCTTGTGTCAAACTCCTCACCTCAGGTAATCCGCCCACCTCGGCCTCCCAACGTGCTGGGATTACAGGTGTGAGCCACCATGCCCAGCCACAAGTTTTTTAAAATACTGATGCCTGGGTCCCACCTCCAGAGATTCCAATTTGGTTGGCCTGTAGTAGGGCCTGGGCATATGTATACATGTGCCATGCTGGTGCGCTGCACCCACTAACTCGTCATCTAGCATTAGGTATATCTCCCAATGCTATCCCTCCCCCCTCCCCCCACCCCACCACAGTCCCCAGAGTGTGATATTCCCCTTCCTGTGTCCATGTGATCTCATTGTTCAGTTCCCACCTATGAGTGAGAATATGCAGTGTTTGGTTTTTTGTTCTTGCGATAGTTTACTGAGAATGATGATTTCCAATTTCATCCATGTCCCTACAAAGGACACGAACTCATCATTTTTTATGGCTGCATAGTATTCCATGGTGTATATGAGGGATCTAGAACTAGAAATACCATTTGACCCAGCCATCCCATTACTGGGTATATACCCAAATGACTATAAATCATGCTGCTATAAAGACACATGCACACGAATGTTTATTGCGGCATTATTCACAATAGCAAAGACTTGGAACCAACCCAAATGTCCAACAATGATAGACTGGATTAAGAAAATGTGGCACATATACACCATGGCATCTGGATTTTTAAAACTCCCCAGGTTGCTAATGTGTAGCCAGAGGTTGAGATGCAGGCCCTAGGAAATGATACAAGAGATAAGGGGAAGGCTGACACTTCTGCCAGAGCAAGAGAGGGGAGGGATACTCAGCTGAGAGCTGCTTCTCAACCTTGGACATCCCCTCACCACAGGCACTGCTTCAGTCCGGGAGGTTTTCACTTAGAATTAGCTTCTCTTGAGATCCCAGAATTTCAGAGACTCTCACCCTTTTCATTTCCTATAGCTATTAGAATTTACAAAGGGGCCACCCCCAGAGGAGACAGAGGAATTGACAAATTGACCTCTAAGAGGCTCATCTCTTATCAGAAAAGCATATGGTCCCCAGATCACCAGTGATAGAAGCAGAGGCAGATACCTCTAGTAGTTGGAAAATTTGTAGTTACATAGTAAATGCAGTTTCTACCTGGTTGCTACAATAATAGGCCAAGCGATTAGGATACAAGTTTCCAGGATCTTTTCCTATATTTCCAAAAAGATAAATCACCCCTAGGAACAGAATCTGCATATTGTAATTAACTGATAAATATTTCATGCCTGGCTCAAACTTTCTCCTCTTCTATTTAATGGCCACAAACTTGAGCACAGAGGAAACAGCAGTGAGGAGAGTGGCGGTTGGCTGTAGTGGGGAGGTTCTACCTTGGCTTCAGGGAGGGAGAAACTGTCTTGGTTAATTATTTACTGTCCTCCTGTTCTTTTAAGAAAACATTGCTCACCTGGAGAAAATCAGGTCCCAGGTGGTAAAGGGTGTGACTTGGGCTTGTTGGCCTCAGCCCTGACCTCCCCCAGGAGAGGCCAGGTTTTGGTGACCCTGGGGGTGCTGGGAACTGCAGGCTTTGGAGTCAAGGGCCCAGTGTTTAAACAAGAGCTCTGTTCTGTCACTTATTAACTGGATAGCTTTAGGCAATTTACGTAATTTATGTGAAACTCAGTTTCTTCATCTGTAAAACAGACATAATTTTTACCTTGTAGGGTGGCCTATGCTCAGTTGGCTCTCAATGCATGATAACTATTATTATCAACAGTAACAATGAATAATTAATAGCCCATTGGATTGTACTCTTTCCCTTTCTCAACCCTGCTCCAATGTGTAGGGCACCTAAACTACTGAATGCTTACTGTGAGTATGGTGAATGCCTTAGCTCAGTTAATCAACATAATTCTTTGAAGGGAATGTCTTATCATCCCTACTTATCTGTGTTTTGCAAATGAGGGAACAGGGCATGCAGAAGTTAAATACCCTGCCAGGTGTCACACAACTAAGTGGTTAAGAGCACAGGCTCTGCAGTCTGACTGTGTAGTTTCAAATTTGGGCTCTGCCGCTTAATAATAGACTCTCCTTGACTTACGATGAGGCTGTGTCCCGATAAAGCTGTAGCAAGCTGAAAATATTGTAAGGTGGATATGCATTTCATACACCTAACCCACCAAACATCATAGTTCAGCCTCGCTTACCTTAAAGTGCTCAGGACACATTCATCAGCCTACAGTTGGGCAAGATCATCTAGCACAAAGCCTATTTTATAATAAAGTGTTGAATAGCTCATGTATTCAACATGAGATATTTATTCATCTCATGTATTCAACATGAGATTCAACATGTTATAATGTACTGTACTGAAAGTGAAAAACAGAGCTGTTGTATGAGTATTAGAAGTACAGTATCTAATGAATGCATATCACTTCGGCATCATCATAAAGCTGAGAAATTGTAAGTCAAAGCATCATAAGTCGAGGACCGTCTGTGATCACTGCAGGATGGAACATAAACTGCTTAACCTCGCTAAGCCTCAGTTTCTTCATCTGTAAGTTGGGGATATGAATGGTACCTACCTGAAAGGTAGTTGTGAGAATTAAGTGAGAAATGCGTGTATAGTGCCTGTCTCAGTACTGGCATGTGGTAAGTGCCTAGTAAATGTGAGTTGTCAGTACCATCATCATACTACCCAGCAACTCAGTGCCATGGCGTCTCCTGCTCTTTGGTGGTGTTTGGGAGGTGAGTGAGTGTGACGGTCCTCCAAAGGTCACAGAGCTGCTCTTTTAACTCCCCCTGACAGACACACACACTTCAGTATCTAGGACTCGGGAGAAAGGACACTAAGCAGATTATGACTCCATTTCAGGAATTAAATCAAAACTCAAGACTATCTCAATTTGGCTTCTGACTAGAGGGAAAGGTTAAAAGGGAGTGAGGAGGCGGCTGGGTGTGCGTTCAGAATTGCAATTGGTTCTGGATCCCACCTCCCAGCCCCTCCACAGGGCCAGGCCCAAGGAGTATCCCCCAGGGGTGGAGGAGTGAAGGAGCCTTAGAACCTGTGTTATCTGAATGTGGGTGAGGTGGGGAGAACGTGGTCAAGGAGTTGGGAAATTATCCAGAAACATTTTCCAAAGGGAGATCTTCCCGCATACCACCTCAGCCTGGCTCTGGATTGCAGGGGAACCCCAGAACGGATGGGGTCTGGGGGCTTAAGACAGGTAGGTGGCCTCAGTAGAGGGGAGAAACAGTCCTGCTGGAGACAGTCGCCTCCCTGGAGAAGTACCTGGGCTAGTGTTCTCTTTAAAGACGTCTAAGCAGTCCTGGTATGCTAAAAACATTATGTGTATGTGTATAAACATATATTCTGTGTGTGAGTAGCCACTCAGCTCTTACTTGGCTTCGCACATTTGGCCCAGATTATTCTGAGCATTGTAAACTAAAAGTGAAATTCGGTTTCTACTTAAGAGAGAGCGTGATTTTCCTCAGTATTATCTCCCGTGCCCCCAACACTCCACCAGGCTTTAAAGGCCATTATACAGAAGGGAGAACTGAGACTCCAGGAGATGGGTGGCTTGTTCAGAATCACAGAAGCAGCGTGGATCCAAGAAGGGATCTGTTCCCAAACAGAAACCAGTGTCTTGGGAGAGAGAGAGCAGAGGAAGCCCGCACCTCTGCCCTAACCTGAGGCTTTGAGCCTCCCGCAAAGCCGAGTGAGTTGAGAGCGCCCAGAAGGCAGACGCTGCGGAGGGAGAGACTCCTGGGCTAGCCAAACAGCAGGGCCTCGGGCAAGAGCGTCACCTGCGCGTCCTCATTCTGCGATTACTGTCAGGGGACCATCCATCAGCGCCGCCCTGGACGCTGGGCCAGACTGCCCGCCGCCCGCACCGACCGGGTCTCTCCAGATCGCATTAGCATTAGCGTGGGGCGAGGGCTCAGTGCGGCACTGGCTGCTGAGGGAGAGGCGTGGCGGGGAGGGGGGCGGGGCGGGGGGACGGGGACATCGCGGTGGGGCCATTGCAGGGCAGGGGAGTGGCTGCTTTAGGACCCTCCTCCTTTTCTTCCAATCTCCCGCCTCTGGCATCTAAGGTGGATGAAAGGGGCACTGGAATGGGCGGCTTTTGGGGGGCAGGGGGTGCAGAACACTGAAGGCATCAGGGAAGGGTAGTGATGGGGGCAGTTATCAGAAGCAGAGAGGAAGAAATACCTGTAAAGGGGAAAGCCAGAGAAATTGTCTGGGGAGGGGAGAGACTGAAAATGGGGGTGCAGAGATTGGGGGTTAGTGGAAGAAAAAGACTTAAAGGGAAAGGAAAAGAGAAGCTGTAGAGGGAAAAAGAATAGGCAAGGAATTGACGAGAGAGCAGGGAAACAGGAAACCACAGATCGTCAGGGGCTGACAAAACCTTAGAGACAATCTACTGCAGCCCCTCATTCTACAAATGAAGAAATGGAGGCCCAGAGAGGGGAATCCCTTCTCCAAAGACCCACTCCACCTGCTGGCTGGGCAGGCTCTTGACCGCAGGCTCATTCATTCAACCCATGTGTTTTGAGCATCTGCTGTGTGCTGGGCACTGGTCTGCCGAGATGATGCAGGATCAGCTCCTGCCCTCCAGAAGCTACAGTCTTTCCTCAGGGGCTTGGAGAGGCTGAGCATCCAGGAAGCTCCCTCACCCCCAGCCAGGAGGGACTCCCTGAGCCCCACCTCTCCTGGCCACTGAACCTTCCTTGCCCTCTGCTGTTCTGCTTATCTCCTCATGGAGGGTGGCCGTTCCCTGGAAGATCTTCCCTCTCCACTTTCCTGGGGACTCCCCAGGTGTGGAGACAGGTACTCGACAGTTTGGCCAACTTGTTCTATCTCCCACAGCCAACAGCGTAGGCCTAAAAGCAAAGTCCATATTCCTTGCTGGGTTTCACCTCTGGGCATGGACAAATCCCACAGGTTGGACTGAGATCCAATTGAGCTGTGGTAAGGAGGATTGAGGCTGGACATGAAGAAGTACTTCCAGGTCCCACAGTGTGGGATCATTTTCCTGCTGGGGCTTTAAAGTAGCTGTCCTTCTGTGAGCACAGTGTTGGCACCATCTTCCAGGGAAGGACTTGTCTTCCTCAGTCTCCAGTTAGCCTTGTGCGAGGCATTATGCTGGGAATGTTGGGGTTCCAGATACCTGGTCTCTGACCATGGGGTTTCTGCTCTAGACATGGGTGAACTGACATCTCCCTGGCATCCTCCCAGTCACTGCCAGCTCTGCAACATCATGGAACCCCTGAGTCCTTCACAACTCCCAGATCATCTCATCCTTCCTCCTTGCTCTGGGAAGACCATGTCTGAGTAGTTCCAACCAACCTCTCACCTTAAACCCAGTCCCTGATAATGAGAAGTACCTCCTTAGTCTGGACTTGACCTTCCTTGCTGCCATGGTCCATCAGCAATGACCAGGGCTGAAGCAGCACGTTTTTTCTATAAACACCGCTCCCTCCCAGTGATGCTCACCCAATCCTCGGTGGTCAGGCAGGGAGTGGGGACAGCTTCCTGCCAAGAGCTCTGGAAGGCAGCTCTGCCTCCTCTGCCTGAAGCAAGCTCCTGTATACTCTGAGATGGTGGTGTTCATTTTAAAGAAGGGACCATCTTTCCTCCACAGCCCAGCTTACATTTGGAGGGAGACAAATGTGAGTTTCCAATCCCAGAATCTTAGCCACTGTACCAATCTCCATGGATGCATGGGATTCAGGAAAGGAGAGAAATGAGCAGAGTGAGGACATGGATAGAATCCATTTCCTACCCCTTGTTCCAGCCCAAGTCCCAGGGAAAGGCCCACAGAGGGCAAGAGAGGTGGACATTGAAAATTCCAGACTAAAGACCAACAGACAGATTTCAGCATTATTCCTTCTTGTAGGCAAAGTGGTACCTAAGGATCTAACCAAATGAAAAAGCCTGGGAAATAGGCTATTTCTGCACCCCCTGACCCTTCATGCAGAGCAGGATATCGGCTTCAGCCCAGGAGCAATGCTAGAAGTTGAGAGGTTTGGAGTAGACTGTGAAGCAGTTCCTCCAAGGGCATGCCAGATGAGGGGGTTGGAGCACCCAGCCCAGAACAGCATCCAAGGAAGGAGGCCTTGGCAGTAACTTTCTGTCTCTGTATTAACTTCACATACATTTTCTTGTGTGATCCTCAGTGCCAGGTTCAGCACCAGGCACAGAATACATGCTTGCTGTACAAATGCATAAGTGAAGAGCCATGGGAGGAAGGTCAGGATCCTCAATTACAGATGAAGAAACAGACACACAGAAAGGTTAAATGACTTGCTCAAGGTCACATATCTCATCAGAGACAGGGCCAAGTTTCAGTGGAGAGCCACTTTAGTGGTAGAGGGTGGTAGGGAGGAGGGAGGCAGGAAGGGAGGGAATGAACCATCAGACACCACACGGGGGGAGAGGAGAGCTGTCATCTTTCTCTTTGTGAAAAGAGATTACTTCCTGGGAAAGGTGGCATTTAAGACCACACAGTTTTAAAAACGACCCATTGAAGGTTGATTTGAGCATATGCAAAGTTCTGCCAAAAACATGGAGAGGTCAATGAGTAGACGGGGTCATTGAGGATCAGAAAAGAAAGACAACACTGAGAGTCTGGACAGCTAAGCCCCAGAATTTTGCTAGTCTTAAATGCTGGGTGACATCAGGCCTTCCACACCCCTCTCTGAGCCTCTAGAGAATGGAGATGCCAGACGTGGAGGAGGGTACACATGGGCAAGAGGAGGCAGGTCATTGCCTTCAGGGTAGCAATTGGAGGCATCAAGTTCCCACTTCCCTAGACCTATTCTTTGTTGTTATTATTGTTGTTGCTTTCATCTGATTTTAATTGTTTTATGTTTTTTGAATAAGAAATACACGTACATGGTTCAAAACTCAAAAGGCACCAAAAGTTATACAGTGACAAGTAAGTCTCCCCGGAACCTCAGAACTCCCAGGCCACCCATGTCCTCACTCCGTTAGTACTGCAGTAACCACTGAATTGTATAACCTCCAAAGGTATTTTCTGCTTCTCCTGGCTTGTACCCTGAGGCCACCACAAAACCGAGTTGAGCACTGATATTCTGAGGAGATGTGGTAAACATGTTTTGGCCCCTGGACTGGTGGGGCCTTGGAATACTAAATACTCTCACTTTCCACTCTGAAAAGATGGAGAAACTTGAGGTCAGGAGAGAGGACATTTCTGCGTGCTTAGAAGCTCAGAAGCCTCGCAGGTGAGAGGATGGAGTTGGGAGCCAGGCAGAGGCAGGAACCCTCTCCAGGGCTCTAGTACCACACTCCCACCCCAGAGCCTCACAGTGCCCTCTGGGTTAGCCTGGCTCAGGTATGCACCCAGTTAGGTCCTGCTCAAGTTTTCCAGAGAAAAAGGCCCAGTGCTTCCCCTCCACCACCTGTCACATTGTTGGGAGGCCTTTCTTGATGTCTCACTCTAGTTCCTTCGACTTTAGGTGTGGCCCATGGCTTTTGATTCTGCCCTCAGTGGAGATGGAACATGCTCTTGGAGATGATAGCTTCCAGGGACCCAGGCTCTTCCTCCCACTTGCGTACACAATTTTCCTTCAGGCCCTCTAATTCCACCTCAATCTTTTTTCCAGACTTAGAAGACACATGCCTGTTCTTTCAGCTACCCCCCCCCCCACCTGAATTCCCGGTCTGCCTCCATTCCCAACCACCTCATTCTTGCCCTGCACATCCCTTTGGCATTATTATCCCCAAGTATTCTTTGGTCATGATGATGGTAAAATCCCAACCTAAAGCCAAGTCCTCCACCAGATTCCAGAGGTAAATCCAGCCTAGTCTCTTTGATAACTGAATCTCTCCATTTTGGGTGATGCCCTAGCCCGACTCTTGAACTTGTGCCCAACACTCGGACTCTCAGATCCTCACACATGGCCTGTTGTGAGATAAGGCACAAGTTCATCCCAAGCCTGGGATGGCCTCCCCTCTGTTCTCTTCTCCAAACCCTCCCCTGGTGAACCTCATCCTTTGTATTTACTCACTAAGCAATTATTATTGAGTACTATTCCAAGTTCTTAGAATACATTGGTGATCAAAACAGAGAAAGACCCCCCACCTGTGTGGAGTTTACATTCTAGCAGAGAAAGACAGATAATGAACAATATTCTTACTAAATAAGTAAATTATATCATATATTAGAAAATGATAATTGTTACAGAAAAGGAATAGATCACGTACAGAAGGATCAGCATGGAGGGGAAATCTGAGGTTTTTAGTATGGTTGTCAAGGAGAGCTCACTGCGAATATGGTATTTGAACAAAGACTTAGAGGTGAGAGAGGAAGTTAGCCCCATAGACATCTTGGCAAGAGTATTCCAAGTAGAGGGAGTGGCTGGTGCTAAGGCCCTGAGGCAGGAACATGCCTGGCAAGTCTGTGGGAGTGAGCAAGAGTGGGAGGAGATGGCATCAGAGAGGTAAGGAGGGAACAGATGATGTTCGGCCTCGTAAGTCAACTTAAGGACTTTGCTTTTTATTCTGAGTGAAGTAGAGAGGAAAGACATGATTGGACTTCAGGGTCTTGTTTTGTTTTGAGAGACAGTCTCACTCTGTCACCCAAGCTAGAGTGCAGTGGCACAATCTTGACTCACTACAACTTCTGCCACCCAGGTTCAAGTGATTCTTATGCCTCAGCCTCCCAAGTAGCTGGGATTACAGGCACCTGCCACCATGCCCAGCTAATTTTTGTAGTTTTAGTAGAGATGGGGTTTCACCATCTTGGCCAGGCTGGTCTTGAACTCCCGACCTCGTGATCCACCCACCTTGGCCTCCCAAAGTGCTGGGATTACAGTCATGAGCCACTGCACCTGGCCTGGACTTCAGTTTTTAAATAGTCTTTTTGTCTTTTGTGTTGAGAATAGATCACAGGGGGCCAAGGGAAGATGCAGGGAGACTTGTTGAAAGGTCATTGCACTAATCCAAGTGAGAAATGTGTGGTTTGGACCAGGATGGCAGCAGTGCGTGTGGTGAGAAAGGCCCAAATTCTGGATTTGGTGACAGTTTCCTCTTCCTTGGCTTCCATCCTTTTGCTCTCTTTGCTTCCTCTCTTCTTTTCTAGGTTGTATGTTTTCTCTCTTCTTGAAGACTGAGAGCTCTCTGTGGGTGGGGCTCAATCTCTGTTCCTGGGATCCAGGGCAGGACCCCAGGCAAAGGACAGACAGGCCCCGTGCTGCCTGGGAACAGGCTGACAAGCCATGCAGCTTCACAGCCCTCCCCAATTACAGGGTCCCTGAGCCAAGGGGAAGAGGCTGCTGTTTCTAAAGAGGATGTGATCGACAGTTATTGAAGGTGCTTAGCTGGGGGCTCCACTCTAGTCTTAATCTGAGCCGCCCTCAAGGAAATCATAACCAGCTCTTAAAAACATGTTGAGACCAAAGCTGGTGTGTGTGTTTGAGCGGAGCTTCAGACAGCTACTTAACACTGGGGGCCTCTGGGCTTTTGATTCCTCCACTTCTAGCCTGCCATCTCCCCCCAGCTGGCTGGTGCTTATCAGCCAAGACGTTGTTTAAATCACACTCATTTCCTATAACCATTTCATTTGAAATGCCATCCTCTGCTCCAGAAATTCATCTATCACCAGCCTAGGGGTATAGTTGAGGAGCCTTGGGGTGATCACTCCCCATCTCTACCCCTGCCCCCAGTCACCCCTCCTCCCATGACCCATATTCTCAGGTTTCACTCTATAAGAACTACTTCCACTCGGTGTGACAGGGCACTTAGTGCCAGAATTATTTATAACATTGAGATGGCAACAGGGCAATGGAGAGCAGCCCAACCCATGGACACTTTCTCTTTGAAAGCTCGATCAATGGACCTAGATCACTGTTTACTACTTGGTGTCTCGGCCTCTGCCATGTTTCCTGCTGGCTTTGGGGGATGGGGAAACAGGGGTCTGGACCAGGTCAAGGCTGTCCTCAGAGTTTATGATGCTTATAAGCCAGGCCTCCAATAAAGTTATGCCTTCACTGTACCTCTATTCCTTGGCCAGGCACTTCCCTGCCTCAGGTGAGCTCTCTTCTTGGAAATGAACCATTCTTCGGGCTTTTTCTCAAACAGGAGCCCTCTGCCTCCCCCAGGAAAGCTGGTATTATGTCCCTACCACAGTGGCAGAGCTAGGACTTGAGCTGAGGAAGTCATCTGATATGGATCAGAATGGGGATGTAGAAGATTCTGGGAGTTCTTCCGAGGAAGGGCTTGAATTGGCCCCACCCAGTCTGGAGTGGAGGTAGAGGGATGGATGAATTCACTTCTTAAGGACTGAAAACCTTTTTACCATCCTCTTCCTCCCCAGCCATAGCCAATTACTAGTTGTCCTAATTTGAAGGCTCTGTTGTCTGGACTGGAGGATTTTTACCCATTTTCCAGCCCCTCTCCCGGTCTCATTTATTTGGGCAGTGTCACATTAAAGGCATTGTCAGACTTCCTAGTCCTTCCCAAAGGCCTGACCCAACTCCTTCCCAAATGGTGAAGCACCTCTGCCTCCCTCCCTTTACACCTGTGGACCTACCACACTGGGGAACTCCTAGGTGAGTCCCAGAGAAAGCCCAGGTGAAAGACTATGAGCCTGTCGGAAGGGATCAGGGTAGAACCCAAGTTGGGACAGGCAGGGGAGGCAGTCCCAGTCTTTAGGGGGGTCAAGTAATTCCCCTTTACAAGCCAAATGAAGAAAAAAAGTTCTAAGGGGAGCATATGACTCCATAAAATAAAGGACATAATTGGGAGTGATATCTAATTTATCTATTGAATGCCTCCTACGTACTCTTTTATCACTTAGATGGACAGAATATAATTGGTGTGCTGTGCGCCATCAATCTCAGAGCCTGGGCTTCCTGTGCTGGCTACACATATTACTGTCAGATTATGACACTGTAATACCAAGATCAATGACATTTTAAACGTGCTCCAGTTATGGGCAATTGCTGACAATAAAAACAGTGACAAATTGATGAAACTTGGGCAGCGATTATCTGGTGTCAAAAATAAACCATAAAGAATCTGATTTCCAAACAGAGAGAGGTGCCTGGGACACCAGCTTAGGGAGGAAAGGCCCAGCGAGAAGAGAACTTATCCTGCTCACATGATCTTGGCCACTCAGGAAGCCACCTGCTCTGGAAAACTCCCTCTAGGCTGACCTGCAAGACCCCAGCAGGAAGATGGAGAGGTGGTCTTTGGTTAAGGCTTGGGTTCCCCTTAGAGAGAATCGTCATCACTGAGACTCTGGGAAGTGTCTGTGTGTGACTGCCAAGGTGGGCTCCACACAAACTCACTGAGATACTGGTGGGTTGTCTTTCATGTCCTGCCCACACTGAGGAATTAGGGCAGACTGGTTGAGTCATAGAATCACACTTAGCCAATGTTAAAGCTAAAAGAGACCTTGAGAGTCTCTCTTCATGGAGGGTCAGGCTCTGTCCTCCAAACTGTCCCTCAGCAGAGGGACCTGGATCTTCCCTAACTTGACCCAGGCATTATTTCCCCAGGCTAATCCCCTTCCCCACCCATTGCAGGGAACTCCAGGCCTTCAACCAGCAGAACTATTTTGGCGTACATTAAGAAGGTGGGCCTCCTCCAGCTCCTCTTTTTTTTTTTTTTTTTTTTTTTTTAGATGGAGCCTCGCTCTGTCGCCCAGGCTGGAGTGCAGTGACAAAATCTCCACTCACTGCAAGCTCTGCCTCCCAGGTTCATGCCATTCTCCTGCCTCAGCCTGCCGAGTAGCTGGGACTATAGGCGCCCGCCACCACACCTGGCTAATTTTTTTGTGTTTTTAGTAGAGATGGGGTTGCTCCATGTTGGTCAGGCTGGTCTTGAACTCCTGACCTCAGGTAATCCACCCACCTTGGCCTCCCAAAGTGCTGGGATTACAGGTGTGGGCCACCATGCCTAGCCTCCAGCTCCTTATTTTTAGTGGATTACCTTAATTTGTAGTATTCCTTTCATACATTTTTCTCACTTTAATAATCACAGTTTTAAAATATGAATACTTTAGTAGCATTGCTAATACTACTTTATATAATAATACTTTAGTAGTATCGCTAATACCACTATTACAAGGATAACTACTATTGGGAAGCATTTATTGTGCAACTACTATATGTAAACTCTGTTCCAGGTGTTTCATGTGTATTATTTTTCATCCCCAGAGCAGCCCTGTGAGGTGGGTATTGTTCTTCACATTTTAGAAGTGAGGAAACAGGCTTAGAGTCGTAGTGATGTGCCTAAGATGACACAGCTGATAAGCAGTGGAGCAAGAAAGGAGCCTGAGATGTGGCTCAACATTCATCTTTTTTCCATTGCCCCTTTCACAGACCTTTATAGTCCCATTTATAGACAGGGCTGAGGGCCTCCCTAAAGAACCTATAGCTAGTCAAAGGCAGAGCTAGACCTAAGCCTAGCTTTTCTGACCCTTCTCGTATTAGACCTGCACCGTATGTATTTTTTTTTAAAGACTGGTCAAGTGCAGTAGTGAGAAGGGGGAAGGAGCAGAACAAGGAGTTTGATCTGTAACTGACTGTGAACAATCAATTGAGATAAGGCACTACCTTCGGAACACCCCCGACACTCTTTCCAGATGCACCACAACAGTCCTTTCCCCAGGTCACCACCACTCACTCAGCCAGGGGCTTCAGCCTTGGCCTCTAAGAGTCAGCAGGGGGTCACAGTTGGCTTTGAAACCAAGCAGACAGGTGTTTGAATCCCCACTCTGCCACCTTACAGCTGTGTGGCCTTAGGCAGGTGGTTGTGAGAATTTAAATGGCATAAGCATATAAAAGCATTTGGCGTAGAGTCTGGCACATAGTAGTGCTCACTAAATGGTAGTCATTAAAGATACAACCTGGGACAGTGGCAGCTAGTTTAACAAACCACCACACCCCATAGCACCTCTCACCTGGGTGCAAGTTCCCCAGGCCACACTGCAGTAGCTGCTCGCTGAGGGTGTCCCCGGATATATAAGAAGCCTCTCTGAGGGCCACAGAGGTTTTTTGATGGCAGATGGTTTAAAACATCATTTTTATATTAAGTTGTATAAAATATACTACGTTATAAAATGCAAAGTTTGCATCATTTTAGAGCTAAAACTTAAGGCCACAAAAGAATCTGCTATTTTCTTATTAATAAAAAATCCTATTTTTATATAATGCAAATAATGAAGATGAAGTAACCTATTATTTAATTAAACATGTCTTTTTTTAAAAAAAAAAAAAAAAGAAATAATTGGTCCTTGCTAATGGCCCTTCAGGGCAATCCCCCAGACTGCTGGGGTCCAAGTTTACCCTCCTGCCTCTAATAACAAAGGGACTTTGGCAGAAAAGTTTGAGAAACCCTGTCAGGAAGAGAGCCTACACAAGGACCAGGAAATCTGACTTCTTCATTCTTTAGAAGAACAAAACAAATAGCAACATTGTGTTTTCTACCTTCCTAGTGTTTTACCTTCAAGTTTAGCATTAAGAACATGAAATGTTTTGTGTAAATTCGTGATTCTTATTTCTGGTTCCTTTCTGTTTAATAATTACTAGCTGAATCATTAATCATCAACCAAGTGAATGGTCACACTTTATAGAAGGCTACAAGGTGGAACACAAGATTAGTTGGATTCTTAAGAAAGAAACTAAAAGCTGCTTGCGACTTAGATGCTCTTAAGTTTTATGACTGTGGTGGGAATTTGAGCATCCGGGCCTTGCTTCTGATGGTCCTCTCATTCCAGTGCCCCAGTTCTAATCCTCTGTGGGTGCCCTCGGTAGTCACAGCCTTGGGGCTGCCCAGGGCTCAAGGCGTCCATGTTTTTAAAGTGCCCAAAAACGGCTTTTGATTCATCAGAAACTCCACAGGACACCCACCTAACTGGGGCTCTGATACCTAATTCAGCAGCACCCACCACCAAGTCTTTCTAAGTTTTATTTTTTTTAATATTACATGCAATATATGTTAATTATAAATAAATGTAATAATTCAGGTAGGTGAAAAGGAGAAGGAAAAATGGCCCAAGTAGTTTCCCCACTGAGGAAGAACCCTGGTTAGCGAGGCAAGTCACGTGACTTTCGGAATCATGTTGAATCTACACCCATTTAAGGTGGAAGTCTATATAGCCTGATTCTTTGATGGTTTAGAGCTCTGCTCAGTTTAGAGTTCAGGGAGGTGGTATCTACAGGGTGTATTGCTCTGATAAAAATTAGCAGCCTGCCCAAGTTCAAGGTATGAGGGGACCGATCACAGATTGGTTTGAGAATCATTATGTTGGCCCTTTGGTGACTCTAAGGATTAGATCCAGAGTACAAGGGGCCCACACTTCCAAGGGATCCCACCACACCTTCAAATAGCAGACTCATGGAAAGGGGATTCCAAGATTCTCCCCCTCCAGCTACGGCATTGCTTTACAATATTTAAAATTCCTTGACTAAAGAGCAAGTCTAAATTGCAAGTACTCCTAGGACAGGGACTGGCTTAGATCCATGACAGCTCCCTCTCTGAAAGAAGGGCATGCCTTACTCCACCAGACCAAACAAAACTAAAGTGACTTCTCTGCTACCCCCAGAGAGGGGCACTGGGGATGGTAAAAGCATTTCTGTCCCTGCACCCAGGGATGAAGTAGAGAAATGCCACTTAACCATAGCCAGGACCCAAAGAATTGTGAGTGGAAAGAGTGACAAAAACAGAGAAGGACAGAACTGTAAGCCACCGCACTTCATTTAGGAAGTTAGTGCTAGGGTAACAGGAAGGATCGGGTGGGCTTTCAGGGGAGTGGAACCTGTTAGAGAAAGAACAAAACTGAGTGGAGACGCAAGGCAGGAGACCATTTATAGGTGAATTAGCAGCAGAGGGTGGGTGGTGGCTGTGCCTGGGGCAGGGGTGGTGGGGTGAGGAAGTGGGGGTGGCAGTGACTTTGAGGGAGCTCTTGCAGAAGGTAGCTTTTTGAGGTGAAGAGCCAGAGCTCTGGGTCTTAAGAGTTGGAAAGCAGGTTATATTTCACATCCTTCCCTGAACAGAGAAATTGAATTTGGTCAAGAATAAGTCCTAAGAAGCAGTTGTGAGCACCCCACTTTTCCATCTTGTTGATGAATATGGAGTGGGAGCAAAGTTGAGTGTGGGCATCTGACAAGGTCTTTATGATCCTAGATGCACTTACTATACCTTCCTCCTCCTCCTCTGCCTTGGCTAATGGGCTGTGGGTACCCACCACACAGAGGGCTATAAGACACTCACTGTGGCTGATGGAGAAGCTGGGCCCTGCCCTCCTGGCCTTCTGAGGAAAGTGATTATTGTTTTTGGCTTGTTTTTCAACTATCCCTTTGCCCCCAGCAGGACTGAACCTTTCCACTCTTACCATCTCTGGGTCCCTTCAGATCTTTTATAGCCTTGAACTATCCGCTACAAGATTTTTTTCTGTCCTAAGAACGGAAGTCTGGTCTGCTTCCTAACATTAATCCCTTCCACACAGCACAGCCTCGTTTCCTCTAGATCAGAGAGATGGCTTCTGGATTCATCTTTCCCTGCAATCCAGCTTCTCCTCCTGGGGCCCTCATAATGGAGACTGGGATCATCATCCAGGCTTTTGCACTGGGTTAGGAATTTGGGAGTCATCCTGGATCCATCTGCCCCTGTCAACCTTTCTCTGTCAACAGATATTTACTGGGCATCTCCAACAGCCAGGCCCTGTTCATGGTGCTGAAGAACAGCATGTATAAAACAACCCTGCCCTCACAGGGCGATCACCAGTGACCTGTGGTGTGGAGTCTCCTTTTACCTCTGTCTCCTCCTTCCCACTGTCACCATCCTTGGTCCTCCTCTGTCACCTGGAATACTCCACTTGGTAACCAGCATGATCTTCTAACACTAGTTTTACCCTTGTCAGCACTTTGCCGAAAACCTCAAATAAAGACTTTTTTTTTTTTTTTTTTGAGACGGAGTCTCGCTCTGTCGCCCAGGCCGGACTGCGGACTGCAGTGGCGCAATCTCGGCTCACTGCAAGCTCCGCTTCCCGGGTTCACGCCATTCTCCTGCCTCAGCCTCCCCAGTAGCTGGGACTACAGGCGCCCGCCACCGCGCCCGGCTAATTTTTTGTATTTTTAGTAGAGACGGGGTTTCACCTTGTTAGCCAGGATGGTCTCGATCTCCTGACCTCATGATCCACCCGCCTCGGCCTCCCAAAGTGCTGGGATTACAGGCGTGAGCCACCGCGCCCGGCCAAATAAAGACTTTTTTAAAAATGTGCGATGGAAAACTAAAGTTATAAATTATATCATAACCATTGGACCTCTTTTTAAAATGCACTGAAGCCTTATAATGTTATCCATGGATATATATCTATGATAAAAATAGAAAAAATATATGATGGTGGTGCTTCTGAAAGGGAGGGGAACGGTACTGGGGAAGGGACAAAGGGAACTTCAACTTTATCTGTAATGACCTGTTTATTTTGAAAACTCAAGAGCAAAATTGACAAAATTTTAACAGTAACTTAACAAAACCTCAAGTCTGGATAGTGAGTTCAAGAGTGTTACTTTATATGGACAGGCAGTGACTCATGCCTACAATCCCAGCACTTTGAGAAGCCAAGGCAGGAGGATCTCTTGAGCCCAGCCATCCTCCCACCTTGGTCTCTTGAAGTTTGAGACTAGCCTAGGCCGCATAGTGAGACCCTGTCTCTTCAAAAAAAAAAAAAAAAAAAAATTGAAAGCAACTCAGGAGGCTGAGGAGGAAGGATTGCTTGAGTACGGGAGGTCAAGGCTGCAGTGAGCTATGACTGAGCCACTTCACTCTAACCTGGATGATAAAGCAAGACTCTGTCTCAAAAAAGAAAATTAAAAAAAGTGTTGCCTGTAATCCCAGCACTTTGGGAGGCTGAGGCAGGTGGATCACTTGAGCTCAGGAGTTCGAGACCGGCCTGGCCAACATGGCGAAGCCCTGTCTCCACCAAAAATACAAAACATTAGCCAGATGTGGTGGGATCAGTCTGTAGTCCCAGCCACTCAGGAGGCTAAGGCAGGAGAATCACTTGAACCCAGGAAGCGCAGGTTGCAGTGAGCCAAGATCTCACCACTGCACTCTAGCCTGGGCGACAGAGTGAGACTCCATCTCTAAAAAAAAAAAAAAAAAAAAAAAAAAGGAGTGTTACATTAGTTGTCTATATGTAGATACACTTGTCAAAATTTAAGCCATAAAACCCTCAGTGTCCCTCACTGTTCCCACCCCCTTAGCCTGGCATACTGGGTCTTTCACAAGCTTGTGTCAACCTCCTCTACAGACTCATCTCTACACTGAGGGACTTGCAGTTTCCAAGTCCTCTGGCCTTGGGACCTTTGCCCATGCTGTTCTCTTCTGAATGCCCTTTCCTGCTTTGCTACTTTGTTCTTGCCCTTCTGGATTCAGCTCCTGGGAGGCCCTGTGGATTGAAGTCAGATGGCTCAAGTAGGCAGCTGGTTAGGACCCAGGAGACAGAAACGTGTCTGGGGAGGACAACACTTTCTTGTCCTGGTTTCTATTCAGCTGCAACTAGAGAAACAGATCACCTGTTTCTTGTTCAAAACTAGGATCAGTGAGAGGAGGGTGGAAAGAGTAAGATCCTCCACAGTGCCCTCCCACCTCCCAGCCTCCCCCTACATAGCCTAGCCCCAAGGCAGAAACTTCCCAGCAGAAAAAGGAAAACTGATAACCTCATTCCTTGGTCTGGCTCTGTTAGGATTATCATCTGGTTTCCCCTGCTGGTGTTGGAAGAACTGTGTTGGTGCAGGCCAGTGCTATCCTGTGACTAGAGGGAAGAAGCTCTGCCTGGGCCTGATTTGGCCACAAGCTCCTAGTAAGATGCTGAAAAGGAACACAAACTCTCGGCCCAGGACACCCTCCCCATGCCATCCCACACTTGACTTCTGCGCACCTTGTGAGCAGATCAGATTTGGTGTTGCTTCTTCCACATCATCCTCACATCCCCTTTCACAGACTCGGATAGATCCCCTCATGGGAACCTATGGATCTATGGCATATCTATGGATATGCCACCCCATGGCAACTGTCCTTTCCCCTTCATAGCATACATCACCCTGAATTATAGCTGCCTGTTTATGTATGTGTCTTCTGCACCAGGTAGTACTCTCTGATGGGGCAGGGATTGGGTCTGTCTTGTTCACAGTTGCATCTCCAGCACCTGCAACTCTGCCTGGCTCAGAGTAAGTGCTCAATACTTTTTGTTTTTGATTGAATGATAGAATGACGAGTGAACTCTATTTCCCACTAGACTGTGAGCACCATGTTGACAGGGACCATGCCCTGATCATCTCTGGATCCTTAGGGCCTATATAGTGCTTGCCACATAGGAGGTGCTCAGTAGACACTTATGGATTTGAGTGAATGGACTTCAGTTTCTCCACTTACAATCTGAGTAAGAGGAAGATATTCTTTGCCCTCTCTCCCTCCTTCTCCAGCCACATTGGGGGTTGTGGTTGATGCTGTGAGGTCGTTCCTGCCTTATTCAACTTCATGTCCAAATCTTCTATGGCAAAACACAACATGGTGGCCAAGTCTCAGAGTCCAGGCATCCCTCCCATAGCCCATAGCCAAGTATGGGAGAAGGGTGCTTCAGGGTCTCTCTCCATTCACTTTAGTCTCCAGCATTAGCCAAGATCCCACTGTCTACCCTGAATTCTTCCTGCTATTGCACAAGGTTTCTTTCATCTTACTGTATTGTCAGGGAAAATATAGCCAAGATTATCTGCTCCTCAACCTGAAGTAAAATATAGATTCTGCCTAATTTTAGAACCGGTGTTAGCCAGGTGTGGTGGCTCATGCCTATAATCCCAGCATTTTAGAAGGCCAAGGCAGCAGGGGAATCGCCTGAGTCCAGGAGTTCAAGACCAGCTGGAGCAATATGGCAAAACCCCATCTCTACAAAAAAAGCAAAAAAATTAGCTGGGTGTGGTGGCACACACCTGTAGTCCCAGCTACTCAGGAGGCTGAGGCAGAGGATCATTTGATCCCGGGAAGTGGAGGTTGCAGTGAGCCAAGATCGTGCCACTGCACTCCAACTTGGATGACAGAGTACGATCCTGTCTCAAAATAAAAATAAAGAATAAAACCAGTGTTTCCACATCTGGAACTTTCTTTTCAAGTTTATATCACCTCTCCTTCCAAATCAGGTCTCCCCTCTTCCAGGAAGTACTCCTTGATTAAGCCAAAAATGTTTTAATTTTCACCACTTGTCCTATTACTCTGCATCCCCACAGCACTTGTAGTTTGTACTTATTCCCTATCCTGTTTAAGTGTGTTCATCATCCTAACCATACTGCATAAGCAGGCACTATTTTAAGTAGGCTTGATAGATTATCAGAAATTGACAAGAAAAAATACACACCAAGAAGAAAGTAGAAGAGGATTTTTTTCTTTTCTTTTCTTTTTGCTTTATCATAGAATTTCTTGTCTTGGTGCTTACAAGCTGTGTAGCACAATGAGAGGAGAATGTGATTTCTGCAAAACATTTCAGGAAGCACAAAGAAGTATCTGTAAATACCCAGGAATAATGACCATGTCTTTTATTTGTATTATTTTTCTAATTCCTCCACTCTATAGGGTTTGCCCAAAGTCCTTGATTTAAGCCCTTGAGTGTTGATTGGCTGACTTAGCTTTGGATTGTGGTCCACTGAGATCGCTGGATCTTTTTAAGCTTTAGAGTTATGCCCTGCCATGTGGATGCAGGTGGAGGAAGGACTTCTCAGTGTGACCCATGAGAGGAGTAGCTCTCCTGGGCCCCAGGCCCCAGGCTGCATGTGTATGGGAGGGAGGAGGAGAAGCAAGGAAAGGAGGAGAGACAGAAGTATATACTGAGCTGGTATTTGGGGGAAGGGTTGGCGGGTTGGGAGAAGGGAAGAGAGGAGTCTGGGCCAAGGCCAGATGTGTCTCCCTGGGGAGTCCTCAGAGCGGGCAGCCGGACGTCGCTCCATCCTTCCCGCCTGACGGATGGGTCTGCTGCGCAGGCACAAGCTGTCGGGCCAGGCCCTGCCAAGGCAGAACAGTGGCGCTTCTGTGCGCGCTGCTCCGCTCCGCTCAGGAGGATGGGGCCCGCCCGGGAAGCCAGGGAGTGATGGAGAAAGCAGACGTCCCAGAACAGGAGCCGCGGGGTCACAGAAGCACAACTGCGTCCCGAAACAAGGAGCCACAGGATGAGGTGGGAGGGGACCGGGAATCAACGCGGGGGAGCGTTTGGGGGAAGTGCTGGTCGAAAGAAGAGAGGCAGAAGGACGCGCGCTGAAGGAGCCTGGGGATGAAGAGCTCGATGATTTGGCCACAAGCCCCCTCACCTTTAAGAACAAAGCTTCCTGCATTCAGTTGCAGAGTTTTGTTTCCCGGTCAGATGCTCAGAGACCTTCCAACCTGTCCCCCACCCCTCAGCCTTGCCCATCTCCACGGGCATCTTCCGCGCCCTCGCCCGGGACTCGGAGCCCACCACCCTCCGCCTCCGCCTGGCCTGGCCCGCGAGATCCCTGACGCTCCAGTTCGGAATCTGGGATCCGCAGGCTCCCAGATCCGCCGCTGGCCCGGCTCCGACCCGCCCGTCAGCCGCCTCCCCCTCAGCGTTAATTAAAACTTGCGAGATGGAGAGGCTGGCGCGGGCGGCTCCGTTTAATTTGCAGCATCTTTCATGCTGCTGACGATCGTAAAGGGCTTTAATATTGAAATATGGGCCATTTTCCCAGCTCCAGCCCTCGCCGCGCGCTCCCCGCACCCCCACACCCAGCCACCCCGCGCTTGATGAAAGAGCCCCTGCAAATCCATTAAGGAGAGATAATTGAAAACTCCGGGGTAATATTTAAGACCGCGTGCCGACGCGGGGTGGAGGGCCTGACTGCGCCCGCTTTGCCCCTCAGTGCTGGTGCGTGCCAGTCCCTAGCGCTCTAGGCCCACCAAAGCCCCGCGGACGCCCAGCCAAGGCCCGCCGTCTTAGCGGTGCCTCCTCACTCCCTGCACTCAAAGGGCTGGCTCTGCGCTAACCTGGCTCTTCCGAAGACTTGCCTGGAGACCCGAGTTCCAAAAGGAGCCACAGGGCATGCTGTGTGACAGATGCATTAGGGCCAGAATGCACGGGGGCCAAAGCATCTTGTCCCACTCCTTCAGCTTCGGTTTGATGTACCAGCATCAGGCACTGCTCAAGCTTCTGAGCACAGCATCCCCTCTGCCTGCAAACTTTTCCCTCCAGCACTTTCTACTTGGGGAATTGCTGTTCCTCTTTCAAAACCAACCCAGTTCCACCCCAAGTAATGGTGCAGTGGGGTATGGAACGTGGGTGGGAGTATAGACACGCCAAGATCCTGGTGTGACCATTGTTGCAGTTGCATGATGAGGACACTATACTGCTCTGTTTTCATATGTTTTCAATGTTCCACGACAAACATGTTTAGAAAGCAGCTGAAGCATCTTCTTTTATGCCTCCCTCTCCCATAAATACAGACTACCTGTTATCTTGTACATTGATGTTCCTTAGCACATCGTGTTGCCATTATCTGTTTAAAGTCTTTCTGCCTACTCAGCTGTGACATCTTCAGGACAGGGATCAGGTCTAATTTCACTCCTTAGCCCTTGCTCCAGGCCCAGTGCAAGGCACATAACATGCGCTCAGTAAACATCACTGAATAGGCTGCTCTCTGGGTACCTAGAAGTCTCTAGGGCTTAAGGTTAGGATACAAGCACAAGAAAGGAGGGTAGGGCAAAGCGTGGAAGAAGGGTGGGGTCTGTGAGGCTGGGTTGGGGATCATGTCTCTCTCCCACAATGACTGGCTTCAGGATGTTCCCAGAATGGGAAAAGGGTAGAGGACCCTGTTCTGCACTGTGATTTAGGAATCCTTAGGTCTCTACCTGGGACTTTTGGGGATGTTTCTCCACTTCACTCCATTTGGCTTACTCTCCCAATCAGGTTAGACACACACACACACACACACACACACACACACCACCACCACCACCACCACCACCACCACACACCTTAGACAGGGAAAGAGTGGGAAAGAGGGAAGCAGAAGAGATTATTTGAAGACCTACTTGTGCAAAAGGCATGAGTAGTTCAGGCATTTCCATGGATACCCAGCTAACCCCCTACCACAGGGCCTTTCCTACTTACCCCTGTTGCACAGTCTTCCCCAACACTGTGTCCAACACCCATACAGGGGTTATACTTACAGGATGGCACTATCGAGGAAGAGGGGGCTGTTCTGACTCAGCCCCCCTAAGCGCACATTGGCCCTGAAGCCACAGTTGCAATGATGCCCTCTCTATGGCCAGAATGAGATCCAAACCATTCCAAAGTTCCATTTCCAAATAAGGACTCCTCGTTAGAACTACAAAACATCAGAGCTGGAGGCAACCAAAAGAGCACTGTGTCCCCTCTTAGTATCTGTGGGGCAACTAAGACTTAGAAAGGGTCTGTGATGTGCCCCAGGTCACAAAGCCATTGGTAACTGGGCGGGCGGGGTGGCTCACGCTTGAAATCCTAGCACTTTGGGAGGCCAAGGAGGGTGGATCATTTGAGGTCAGGAGTTCGAGACCAGCCTGGCCAACGTGGCGAAACCCTGTCTCTACTAAAAATACAAAAATTAGCGGGCAGTAGTGGAGCATGCCTGTAATCCCAGTTACTCAGGAGGCTGAGGCAGGGGAATTGCTTGAGCCTGGGAGGCAGAGGTTGCAGCAAGCTGAGATCATACCACTGCACTCCAGTCTGGGTGACAGAGTGCGACCCTGTCTCAGAAAAAAAAAAAAAGCCATTTGTAACAAAACCAGTGCTAGAATCCCAGAAAGTTAGTGGTGGAGTTGGAATTAGAATCCCAATCTCTTGACCCACTTAAATATATACAATTGGTATTCGAAGTGCTTTTCACAAACATTATCTCATTTAATTCTCTCTCTCTCGATAGGATCTCACTGTGTCACCCAGGCTGGAGTGCAGTGACATGATCATGGCCCACTGCAGACTCAAGCTCCTGGGCTCAAGCAATGCTCCCACATCAGCCTCAGGCACATGCCACCACACCTGGCTAATTTTTGTATTTTTGTAGAGACAGAGTTTCAGCATGTTGCCCAGGCTGGTCTTGAACTCCTGGGCTCAAGAAATCCTCCTACCTTGGCCTCCCAGAGTGCTGAGATTACAGGCATGAGCCACCGTACCTGGCCTCACTTAATTCTCACAAACCTATGAGATAGCGTCACAATTCCCATCTACAGATGAGAAAAATGAGGCTCAGGGAGAGCCATGATTTGTCCAGTGTCATACACGGGTGCAAAACAGATCCAGGATTTGAACCCCAGTTTGACTGGCTCCAATTCCAGTGCCCTTTCCACTCACTTCTCCAGTATCTCCCCCTACACCCCACAGCCAAGTCAGACCAGTTTCCCAGACACTCACCCTTCATCCCTGGACATCTCCAGCCAGAGGTCTTTTTTCTCCTTAGCCCAGCTTCCCCCACCCAGGGCAATGTTCTTTGCCCCAGATTTGGAGGTGGGGGTGTGGTAGTCTCCGCGGTGGTTCTGGGTACAGGCCTCCATGAACTGAAGCCATGCACAGCCTGGCCTCCTTTGCGTAGCCCTACTCCTGTTCGTGGCCACGGAGGCCTCAGCCATAAATCCCCAGGTCTCGGCTCATAACCATTAGCAAGCGATTGGGCTCATCAGGACTCCTTTATGAGACTCGGGTCAAATAAAATGGATTGCCGGAGGTCAGGAACAAGGGATCTCCTTGCCTTGCCTTGCTTCCGAGATGCTCCCACCGCCCAGAGGTTGGCAGATTCTGTTTGACTCACAGCTGTAGGTGGAAGTGGGGGCATTGTCACAGTGGGATAAAGATGTATCCCCTGGTACTCCACACCCATGGAAGGAAAAGCGCTTGGAGATGCACATCCTCATATAGCCCACAGTCATTAGGGCTGGAGGAACACACACACAGAGGCACATATACACACTCAGACCCCCATCTCTGATTCAAATCCACTCTTCAGCAACCAACCCCCCAACCCCACCCACCTCACATCATCTGATGTCCTCACACTCCATCCCTCCTGTGAGGTATTTCCTGAAACACTGCTTCTCAAACACCACTGTGCATACAAATGACCTGGGACCTGGTTAAAATGCAGATTCTGACTCAGTAGATCTGGGGTGGCACCTGAGCTCTGTTTTCTAACCAGCTTCCAGGTAAGGCCAGGGCTGCTTCTCCAAAGATTTTAAGCAGTGGTCCTCCCACATTAGAAGGGCAGGGGCTTTCAAAATGTAAAAGAGATAGGAGAGTGCAGTTTGGGAAAGCTCCTCTCCCACTCCCATCCCCCAAATGCTGCTGTGCACACCCAGGTGACTGAACTGTTTCTAGAATGCTGTTACCTCACTCTTTACATGGCTCCCTCTCATTCTTCAAACCTCAGCCCAAGTGTCACTTCCTCAGAGAAACTTTCTCTGACCACCCAATTTATTTTATTTTATTTTATTTTATTTTATTTTATTTTATTTTATTTTATTTTATTTATTTTGTTTTTTTGAGACGGAGTTTTGCTCTTATTGCCCAGGCTGGAGTGCAATGGCACGATCTCAGCTCATGGCAATCTCCGCCTCCCGGGTTCAAGCGATTCTCCTGCCTCAGCCTCCCAAGTAGCTGGGATTATAGGCATGCGCCACCACGTCTGGCTAATTTTTGTATTTTTAGTAGAGACAGGGTTTCTCCATGTTGGTGAGGCTGGTCTCAAACTCCTGACTTCAGGTGATCTGCCCGCCCCAGCCTTCCAAAGTGCTGGGATTACAGGCGTGAGCCACCATGCCTAGCTGACCACCCAATTTAAAGGGTCCCTGCTCCACCCTGTCTGTGATTACCCACTTCACAACAGGTCTCAAAATTGCATGTATCTATTTGCTAACTTGCTTACTTATTTTTTTGTCTGTTTCACTCTCTGAAATGTATGGTCCTTGAGTTCAGGGATTATGCCTGTTCCATTTATTCATGAATTCTTGGCAACCTGTGCCCAGTGCATAGTAGATACTCAGTAAATATTGCTGGATAGGCCAGTCACAGTGGCTCATGCCTGTAATCCCACCACTTTGGGAGGCTGAGGGGGGCAGATCATTTGAGGTCGGGAGTTCGAGACCAGCCTGGCCAATGTGATGAAACCTCGTCTCTACTAAAAATACAAAAATTAGCTGGGCATGGTGGCACAAGCCTGTAATCCCAGCTACTCTGGAGGCTGAGGCAGGAGAATCATTTGAACCTGGGAGACACAGGTGGCAGTGATCCAAGACTGCCACTGCACTTCCACCTGGGTGACAGAGGGAGCCTCTGTCTCAAGAAAAATAAAAAATAAAAATAAAAATAAAAAAATAAAAGATTATCTGAAAGAGTATCTGAATCCAGGACTGAGGCTGTAGGTAATCTGAGAAAGTATCTTGGAGGAAGGAAAATTGGAGGAAAAGAACATTGTGTGAAGGACTTAAGAAAGGTGACTCAAGGAAAGTGGGAAGGCAAGGGTATCCAGATAAGATTGGCCCCATTGGTCCTGGGTTGATATGACAGGGGTGAGGAAGGGTCCTGGAGGGAGAGATCCTGGGGGTAGCAGCAGATGCCGCAGGGTCTCGGAAACCATGGCAGGCACTAAGAAGACACGTGGGCTTCCCTCCACCTCATGGACAAGGACCTTCATTTATTCATTCTTTCCTACACTTGACAAATTCTTACTGAGATCTTATTAGGCGCCAGGCACTGTGTTTGGTGCTGAATATTCAGGAATGAGCACAATGGGTCTGGTTCCTACCCTCCTAGAGATTACAGTCCAGTGGGAGAGACTGACAGTAAACATATTAATATGTTACAGTTGGGCCAAGTCTACAAAGGATAGGGTATGATAACATGTATGATGGGTGGTTCCCTAGGGAGAAGTTTCCCTAGGGAGTGACAGTCACCCAGAGTGCTGATGGGTGGAGGTCTTTTTTGCCAGCCCCCTGCCAAGCTTTCGTCCTGGACTTTCCTGCATTCCTCTGCACTGTCCCTTTAAGAGGAGCATCTCTTCCCTGAGCAAAGGCAGTTCGGGCACACAGCCTGAGCCTGCCAAGGTTGTGGGCCATAAATCAACGCTGGCACTCCCTTGGCAGTGGGCTCTCCTCTGAGCTGCCCAGATGGCAGGCAAGCCTGGGGCTCCAGGGGCAGCCAGGCACTCAGGAGGGGGGAGGCGGGCAAGGTGTGGACACAGCTGGGCCCCAGGCTCCTGATGGCAGCTGCCCACTTCTGTCTAAGGGCCCTAGGCCAGGGAAAATGCCAAAGTCCTTCTATTCTAGTCCCAGGGACCTTCTGACTCCCAAGTCAGTCTAGCATGGGGCTGTTGAGATTATTGTTCCCACCCCAGCCAGGGACCAGGGCCTCATAGGCATCCTCTGAGACCAAGGGTCTTGGATGATCTCTTGGGATCACAGTCTGCTCTAACATTCAACCTGAAAGTTCTGCCTGTGGTTTGACCTTCTTTCCTCTTGCTGTAGCCAAGGTGTCTTCTTTTACCCTGCATGAAAGATGAAAGACAGTAGCTCCCCATTTAGTGGGGGCTTTGGGACTGTGTGATATCTCCCTCCGCCTTCACTTTAAGCCTCCCAGAAAAGCAGGATAAAAAGATGCTTCAAAGTCAGTTGGAGAGATGGAACTCTGCCCTCTTGGGGGTTGCCATCCCTCTGCCACCCTCACAGGTGCTGTGACAGAGGGAACATATGTTGCTCCTACCCCAGAGGATGGAGACAACATCTTAGCAGCCACAGCCCCACAGAGCTGGGCTCAGCAGGCCTTGACAGAACTGAAAAGGCATCCTCTCTCCTGGGCCTGGGCCTGGCCTAAGCCTGGGTTGTGGGCGGAGGGGTGGAAGCAAAGCCTGTAGACCCCTTCCAGAAAGGAATCAACAGGCTTGACTGCTCTCCCCACGCTCACTCCCAAACAGTAGAACAGTGGAAAATTCATGGGTTCCAGAACAATAGAGATTTCCTGGGATGTCCTTGTCCTCAGATTCTCTGTGAGAAGTCAGAGTTTACAAGTCCTTAGAGATTCTTTCTCACACACTCATCATACAGATGAGGAAACTGAGATGCAGAGAAGTTCACCCAGGTCTTTTTCAGGTTGTTTTTACTACACCACATTTGCCACATGAACAGAAACTCCCAGAGCTACCACTAAGCAGGATGTATTAGACTCTAAAGGTAGTAGCATAGATGGAGGTTAGGTAACAAGTAGAACTTTCTCAGAATAGTAGGTCACAGAAGAAGATGAGAAGCAAAGTAAAGAAAGTGCATTCTCTAAAACAGTGGGGTGGGGGTGGGAGGGATGGAGCCAAAGAATCAGGTTAGAATTTTGCAAAAAGATAGAAATATAGAGAACACAGGAGAGGGAGCTGGCATAGAGCCCAGAGCAAGGACAACTGGGGTGTGGAGCTTCTGGGGTTCTTCATTCAGGACCCCTAGATTTCATCTGTCCCAGGCTTCTGGGTATCACCAGTAGTTTAAAGTCAGGACTCATCTGGGCTGATTCTCTTGGCTTTCTCCTTGCTCTCCCGGGATGGCTTATCTGGCTGCCAGAGTCATTTGCCGTCTCTGATTTGTGTTTAAATTAAAGTTCCCACAAACAGAGGTTTAATGTGCTGTTACCAAGAACTCCCAGGCCCCCTGCAGCTCTGGGAAGTTGAAGGGGCTGGGGAGAAGAGGTCAGTCTGTGTGCATCCCATCAAAGCTGATCCCACTGGCATTGGACCTGGAGTGGACAGCCCAACTAAGTGTCTCCGTCCTTGCTGCTCCATCCAGAATGGTGATGACAGGGGGCAGGGCAGGGAAAAGCATGCTCACAAAGGGCCTGGGACCAACATGCCCGTTCAGGGGCTCCTGGGTGGCTGTTCACCCTTTTTCAGGATGGTGAGGAGAAGGCAGGGGAGGTGGGCAATGAGAAGAGGGCAGGGGGTGGAAAATAAGGAGAGAGCAGGAGGCTCCATTCTTTAACACTTGTGTATGGCGCTCACTGTGTGCCAGCACTGTTCCTGGGCACCTCACAACTACAAATTCAACCTTCTACACAACCTGTAAGGCAGGTGTTGTTATCATTAGCCCCATTTTTATAGATGGGGAAACAGAGGCATGCCCAGTATCACACAGCCAGTAAGAGGCAGATCCAAGGAGTCAAGCCAGTGCCATCTAGCTCCAGATTCCCAGTGCTATGCTGACACTTAAGCCAAAATTTATCTGTCACCCTCCCAATCCCTTGATCACAAGGTGAGGCTTCTCTTTGCCAGAGCAACTGAGACAAAGTGAAGCTCCCATCCTGCTCCCCAGATCTTTACCTCTCTGGGCCACAGTCTTCTCATCTGTAAAATGAGGATAAGATACTAGGAGGGGTTGAGGGTCTGGGAAGGTTTAATGAGACAGCTTGTCAGTGACCAGCACAGGGTAGGTCCCCAGCAGTGGCTGTTTCCTTCTCTGTAGTCTAACCATAAGCCTTCCTGCTGTGCCTTCCTGCACTGCCTCTTAATTCTGCTTTCAAAGGAGCTAGTGGCAGTGACCCTCGCCCCTTAAAGAAACTCTCAGGAGAGCATTGTTCCTCATTCATTTGTCCAAATTCTCTCTCTTCCTCTGGGAAACCCTGAAAAAGAGGGATAACAAAGCTGAACTGGAGCCCCAACCTGCTCTGTCCCCACCTCCTCTGCACCCAGGTGAGCCAGTCAGGGTGGCAACAGAAAATAAATGACACATTCGAGAGGGTTTCACTGAAGGGTTTAGTGATGTGGCAGTTTCTAAAGGCATAGACCAGATGAAGAAAACTAATACGGGCTAGTGTGGCACCAGGATAGAAATATCTCTACCAAAGCCCAATGCCAACTGGGCTCACGGGACACAGGAGAGAGGCCACTCAGCAAAACTGTGACCAAGGAGGAAACACAACCACCACCAGAGCTTCAAGCAGGCAAAAAGGGGGGCTGACAGGGAATGGAGGAAACAAATACCCTGACTCCTCTCTCCCCCTTCTCAGCCGGGAACTCTATTGGCCGAGAGATCAGGGGGCCCATGTGACACAGTCTGCAGAGGTCAGCCTCCCTGGGCAGAGCAGCACAGAGAACACAGTGGGACAAACATAAAACCATCCCCGTCTCATCCCACCCGTGAGTCCCTGCTCTGATACCAAAGCCTCCTCTCTGCTGCTTTATTGCCACCACTGTCACTGCCTGCAGCCAAACAGTGACTGACAGGGAAGGAGAGTCAAGACTCCCACAAGCAAATACTCCAGCTCACAAGGAAGGTGGGATCCAGGCAGAGGGCAGCTTGAGGGAAGAGGGCTGTGTCTGAAGGGCAGCAGAGCAGGGACTGCCCACTCCCAGCATGGAGAGACAAAGAGAAGGACCGCACTGGGGGTGAGGATGTCAAACGGTGATAGTAAATGACTCTCTTTCCTCAGCATATGATACAAATCACTGTGGATCTCCCTTCCTCCTCCCCTCTCTAGACCGGGAGCCCTTGTGGGGAAGGGATTTTGTCTTGTTCTTCCTTGATATCTAGCACAGTGCCTCTTAGGGGCATAATCAGAATTTATTGAATAAATAAGCAAATAGATATGTAAATGAATGAACAAACCCATTTGCAGCTCATATGCACAGCCCTGGGCCCTGGTCAGGGAGCACTGTTGAATGAATGGCATGCAGCATTCCTACAGAAGTTTTATTTCAATCAGTTCCATCACCTACCACCTCAGGTTTCCTTTCAGCCACTGAGTCACGGGCCACACAGCCCACATTTGCCTCCACGCTGGCCAGAGGCTGTGCTTTGATAGCACCCACTCAAATGTACAGTGACCTCATCTAGCTCCTCCTGATGGAGGAATGAGGGGAGTAGCAAGTGACTTCCTTTCTCACAGCAGCCTTTCTGTGAGCTCTTTCTTGAGAGAAATCTTGATCCATGGCAAACCGTCTGTGGTATTCTCGGCTGTAGCCCTTGGTGGGAGATGGGGGGAGGGAATGACAGTGCCAAGGATGCAGCTGAAGGATCGTCACCCTGGGAGCCACAGCTCTGGCTTACTTTTTCCAATGGGCCATAAAGACTGAGGGAGGCAGGCGGAAGCAGGGGCACCAGACTAACAAACTAGAGTTTCAAGTGTAGTCCCCATGCGATGCCCACCTTGCGAAGTGGTTACAGATGCTGGGGCTGGGCTCAAGATGCCTGTTCTACCACATGCTGGCTGTACAACCTTGGGTAAGATACTTGATTACCATGCCTCAGTTTCTGCATCTTAAAAAATGTGAATAACAGTAATGCCTACTTCACATGGTGGTGAAAAAGTAGATGAGTTAATAGTTATGAGATACAGCCAGGCCTGGTGGCATGGGCCCATAGTCCTGCTACTCAGAAGGCTGAGGTGGAAGGATTGCTTGCACCCAGGAGTTCAAGACCAGCCTGGGTAACATAGCAAGACTGCTCCCCCACTTTTTATTTTGAGATGGAGTTTCACTCTTGTTGCCCAGGCTGGAGTGCAATGGCATGATCTCAGCTCACTGCAACCTCCACCTCCTGGATTCAAGTGATTCTCTTGCCTCAGTCTCCGGATTCCAGGGATGAACCACCACACCCAGCTAATTTTTGTGTTTTGCATTTTTAGTAGAGATGGGGTTTCACCATGTTGGTCAGGCTGGTCTCGAACTCCTGACCTCAGGTGATCTGTCCACCTCGGCGTCCCAAAGTGCTGGGATTACAGGTGTGAGCCACTGCGCCTGGCTGCAAGACACCCATCTCTCTAAAAATGAAAGTTTTGAACTATTTAGGAGAGTACATGATCCATGGTAAGCTCTATATAAATTTTGTTACATAAAATTAAGGTTCTAGTCCCATAAACTTTTTTCTGTAATAAGCTGCTCAGCCTTAGATAAATCTCATATTTGCTGTGAGAAGTGAACAAATGCATGTGAAAACTGTAATGTGTTTATAATTTTTATTATTTGTCATCAAGATCATGTAAGAGACCTGATTTAGTAGAGGGTGAAGGGATGCGAAAGGGGCTGTCAGTCATCAACTTTTGATTATCTGCCTTGTTAAGGTCCCCTTCTTGTCAACATAATCAGCTCTTTGGCTTGTTCAAGTCTTTTGTTGACAATATCCAGGCCTCTCATGGTTCCTCCCACACACAACGGGCTGCACAGCAAGGGCTGGAAGGAAAAAGCCTTTGAAGGCAAAACGGGTCCTTCCCTTCCTTAGCCTCGAAGCGGGAATAACCACTAGACAGAAGGCTGTGAGGGAGGACTCAGGCACTTCCACTGTGGCTGCTTTGCCTTTGGGCAGGAGGGGAAACTGATCAGCTCCCTCTGTGGTAGGGCCGCAGGAAGAGATGTTGGCATTTGTTATGAAGTGCTAGGCATAAAAACACATACATGGCCGGGTGCAGTGGCTCACGCCTGTAATCCCAGCACTTTGGGAGGTCGGGGTGGGCGGATCACAAGGTCAAGAGTTTGGGACCAGCCTGGCCAACATGGCGAAACCCCGTCTCTACTAAAAATACAAAAATTAGCCAGGAGTGGTGGTGGGCACCTGTAATCCCAGCTACTCAGGAGGCTGAGGCAGGAGAATCACTTGAACCCAGGAGGTGGAGGTTGCATTGAGCTGAAATCATGCCATTGCACTCCAGCCTTGGCAACAAGAGCAAAACTCCATCCCAAAAACAAATAAACAACAACAACAACAAAAACAGAAACAAAAAACAACAAAAAAACCCATACACACATACTTATCCCAGTGTCCAGAGCAAATGTTCTGCCACTTACTGCTATGGGTGTGATTTCAGATAGCTACTTAAACCCTGAGTTGCGGTTTTTCTCATCTTCAAAATGGAAATATTGATGCCTAATTCAAAGGGTGAAAATTAATGAACTATAGAAACCCCTTGGTGTATGTCTGGTCCAATAAATGGTAGCTCTTTTTAGCTAACATTTTGTAATATCTGCCCACTATCTCCTCCAAGGGATGGAGAAGTAATGCTGACTTCCAGACTAGGAAAGGTAGCGGTAGCAGAAAGTGATTTACAACTCGACATTTTTCACATTTTCTTTCCAGAGCACATAGTAAGTTCTTGTTGGTTCATTCATTCATTGAACAGTGTTTAGAAGTTTGAACAAGCTTGAACAACTTGCCATCATTTTGTTCACTTGTATTCATCTTACTCTCACCACTAGAACTGCAAGGTCCATGAGGGCAGAGGCAGTGTCTGTTGCTGGGTGAGTGACTGGATTGACCTCAAAGCATGTCTGAAGACTGAAATGGGCCAGGCAAGGAGATGGACACTGGAGGCCTGGATTCTGGGCTCAGTCATACCTCCAAGAACATAACTTTCCCTCGACCCTGGAGTCTTCACAGACCTTCCTTCCACTGTGAGGCACTGGATAATCACTTGAGACCAGACTCAGGGAACTCCTCCCTCATGGGAAGTCATTCATTCATCCACTCCATGTCTCTGAAGCCCCAAGAGAAGGATCTGAATCCCCTAGTCTGAAGAGTCAGCAAGTTTCCAACACAGCAATCATGATAAAAAGGGAGAATTGATAAAGGAGGGAGCAGCCCCAACTCAGTAACAACAGAGGGAGGAAAATTCCAGCTAGTACATGTACTTAATACGAAAGCAGACATGTGCCAAGACCCTGCTTTCATGGATATTAGGTGTTCCCAAATATAAGAAACACCCATTCTTGCCCACAGGCCTCACTGGATACTATCCAAGATGTCTAGACAATAAGAGGAAAGAGAGAATCATAATATCCAAAAGGTGGAAAAAACCCAAATGTTCACCAATAGATGAACGGATAAACAAAGTGTGATATATCCATACAATGGAATATTAGTCAGCCTTGAAAAGGAATGAAGTACTGATAAATGCCACAACATGGATGAACCTTGAAAACACTATGCTCAATGAAAGAAGCTAGTCACAGTAGGTCTCTTATTATATGATGCCATTCATATGAAAGTCCGGAATAGGGAAATCTACAGAGACTGAAAGTACATTAGTATTGTTAAGGGCAAGAAGGAATATGGGGGGATAGGGAGGTGATAGCTAAAGGTTACAAGATCTCTTTTTGAGGTGATGAAAATGTTCTAAAATTAACTATGGTGATGGTTTGGCATACCTGTGAATATACTAAAACCATTGAATTGTACATTTCAAATGGTGAATTGTATGACACATGAATTATACCTCAAGAAGGTTGTTTTTTAAAAAGACAGCGTAAGGGGTAGGGGGAAGTTGAGATGAAGCAGGAAAACTGTGATCAGAAACAAAGCTCAGGGGCTGTCTGGCCTGGCTGCCCCAAGTCAAAGCCTGCATTTCATACAGGCAATGTTAGGGTAGCCCCCAAGCCATGATTCAGAAAGATAAATTGACCCCAGAAGATATAGGGCTGGGTCCCTTCTCCCCTGACAGCTCCCTTTCTGTGTTTTTTCTGGCACAAGAAACTCTGTCATCTTGTATAAATAGGAGAAATTTATGACAGTTTTCCCTCTTCTTCTCCCTGGTGGGCTACTAGGAAAGGTCCCGGGGGAGGAGGGAGCCTGAAATTCCAAAAATATAAATGTGGAAAGACTGGAGGGGGTTGAGGAGTCTCTTTGCCTGCCTTGACTCTGGCCCCAGCTCTCCTTTCCCTTTGCATGTTTGACCATCTGGGTGATGCAGAGGGTAGAGAGCTGGTGCAGCCCGTTCTCTCTGCAAGCCCAAAAGAGATGGGTCCCAAAGCAGATATCCGACAGGAGGGGCACAAGGGAAATCAAGAAAATAGGCTTGGCTGTCCCATGAAATAATTGGAGGAGACACAGACCACTTGCCCTCCTTCCTGGATTTGGCTATTTTTGTACTTCCCTGTTTGTTGAGGCAGCCTGATACAGTGGGAAGAGAACTCGTCCTAGATTTAGAAAGATTGACAGAGAAACTAAGTGTGTGACCTTAAGCAAGTCATATCTTCTCTCCGGGCCTCACCTGTAAAAAGAGGGAGGGGACTGAATTTATCAGGGGTTTTCAAATGAGTTTAACTCTGGGGTCCTTCCTTCAAATAAAACCGTATGTAGTGACCCAACATGAACACGAGTAGTAGCCTGCTGAGCTTCTTGAAGGTAGGAATGGGAGTCAGGGCCCTGTGGTGACTGGTGAGAGGCTTGTCCAAGCACAAGATGATCTCCATGGCCTTTCCAGCCCTGTCCTCAGGAGGGATTTGCCCCCATGGTGAAGAGGCTCAGTTCTGTACACCCAGTGGGCTTGAAATCCAGCTCCACCCCCTCTTGTGTGTCCCTCAGCACATAACTTACCTTCCTTGAACCTGTTTCCTCTTGTTTAAATTGGAATAGTAACACATATCTCAGAGGATTGTCACATAGATTACACTAAATAATGTGCATAGAGTCCTTTGCATACTATCTGGCCCAATAAATATTATTATAGTTATTCCGTGATCTGATGTAATCAGTTTTTTATTTTGAGACAGAATCTCATTTTGTAGCCCAGACTGGTGCACAGTGGCATGATCTCGGGTCACTGCAACCTCCGCCTCCTGGGTTCAAGCAATTCTCCTGTCTCAGCCTCCCAAGTAGCTGGGATTACAGGAGTGTGCCACTGTGTCCAGCTAATTTTTGTATTTTTTAGTAGAGATGGGGTTTTACCATGTTGGCCAGACTGGTCTCGAACTCCTGGCCTCAAGTGATCCACCTGCCTCAGCCCCACACAGTGCTGGGATTACAGGCATGAGCCATGGCACCTGGCCTGATATAATCTTCTTAATTTGAAATATCTGGTGTGAGAAGGTGAATTGGAAAGGATGACAGCAAAACTTCTATAACACAAAGGCCCCCAAACACAGTAGCATATAGAAAACAGAAGTTTATTTCTCACTTAGTCTGGGAGGAAGTTGTTCCAGATAGCAGGCAGCTCTGTTCCTCCTAGTCAGTCAGGGACGTGTGTTCCTTTCATACCTTTGCTTTGTCTTCTCTTAGGGATGTCTTTTCAGTTGCCTGGTCAAACCTGTCTCAGGCACATCTGCCCAGCTCATGAAAGAGAGAACACAAAGGAGAATTTACCCAATCCGTCAGGCTTTGAGGACATGCTCACCTCACATTCCCCTGTGTCTACACCTGGCAATAAGAGCAGCTGGGAAATGGAGTGTCCAGCTGGGTGTCCCTCCACCCTCGTGCAGCAAGGAAAGAAGAGATTTTAGTGGACAATGGGCAGTCTTAATCCAGGGCTCAAACCCACACCTGAGCTGTCCTCTTCCTCTTCTCTTCCCAAAGGAAGGGAAATAAAGTCTACAGCCCAGAAAACAATGTGACCACCCATCCCCTACCCAATCAGGTCCCTGCCATTTATCCCAAGATCAGCTGTCTTTCTTGGGAAAGTGGCTTGGAAGCCTCTCTCCAGAAAGACCACCCTTCTGTCCATCTTCTTCACATGGGTGGATTTGAGAAAAGTTTCTGTCCCCACTGCCTGCCTGCCACTCCCTGTCTCAGTTTCAGCTCACGCTCTAGCCCTTCGTTCCCAGTCACCAAGAATGACTACAAATGCGGGGGAACAGGAGGACTTGAAACAGTCATGGAAATTGAGACTGGGGCACAGAAGCCATGCTCAGAGGCAGCGTAGGTGAGGGTTCTGATGCCAGGAAATCCAGCTACTACTGTGTAACCTAAAGCGGGGATTAAGCTCTCAGAACTTCAATGAACTCTTTTGGAAATAGGGATAAGAAACCCACTTGTCAGGGCTGTTGTGAACATCAAATGTGATCATGTATGTACCTAGTACATAGTATGCCTTCAATAAATGGTAAGGCAAACCCAAGGCAAATTGAATTCATGTCCATTACTCTGACCCAGCCTTTGCATAAATTGTTTTTTCTTCTCCTTCCTTGTCAATGCATGGCTCCCTCCCTCTTCTTTACTTCCTATCCTCATTCCCCTACCATCTGAACCCTGATGTGGAATCTCTTTTCTCAGGAAATCTTCCATGATTGAAACATTCCTGCTTGGCCACTTCCCACTCCAATACTCTATCTTCGCCCATCTTCCATCTACCCCATGGTCCTGGCCCAAGTTTACACGTGTCCCATTTCTCCCTTCAAAAAGCATGCAGCAATGGAAGGGCTTTAAGTTTGCCATCAAGCAGATCAGAGTTCACATGCCAACTCTGCCAAGTTCTAGCTTTAGGACTTTGTCAGATCACTTCCCCTCTTTGAATCTCTGTCTTCCCAACCCTCTGGTGAGGTCAAGTGTGTGTGGGCTGGTACATAAAGGATATTTAATCTCCTCTGCTCTACCCAACCTCCCCCAACTCACACTCCCAGGACTAACTCTCTACTAAAGGGAGTTATCAGACCAAGAAAGTAATTCTCCCATTACCAGCCCCACCCCAACCCTGCTGAGGGAAAAAGAAGTGACTTCGAGTCTATGGGTCTTGGAGGGACCACCAACCCAAGAGCTAGAGCAGAGGAAGGACTTGGATATCCCAGATTCCAGGGTTATAGGATCTCTCCCCAAGCCCTCATATGCAGCCCCAGTTGCAGGACTAGCTTCAGGGATAGGAGTGAAAGAGTTGATCTGATTCCAGTCTTAGCCTGTAAGTAGTAGCTCACCTGTGCCTCTATTTTCAACCTTCCTAGATCAGAAGAGCAACAATATCAGTGACAACTAATGCTTACATAGTGTTTCCTATGGGATGGGCATTGTTCCAGGCTCTTCGTACATATAACTCATTTAATCCTGACAGCAGCCTTTGAGCTAGGTACTATTAACCCCATTTTACAGACAAGGAAACTAAAGCACAAGGGGTTAAGTAACTTGCCTAGGTCATACAACTCACATAAGGCATGACTGAGATTCAAAACCAGGCCGTCTAGCTCCAGAATCCATCCTGTTAACCACTCTGCCATAAAAAGAGCTAACATTTACTGGCAGGTTCTATGTGTCAAGCACTGTGGAAAACACATGGCATGTATTTCCTCTAATTCCAAATAACCCCCTGAGATAAGTTCTATTATTGGTATCCCTGTTTTACAGGTCAAGAAACTAAGGCAGAGAGAAAAGTTAAGCAACTTGCCCTGAGTCACACAGCTAGATATTAATAGTTTCAGAACTCCTAGCTGTTTTGCCTCAAATCCCACCTCCCCACCCCTGCTCAAAGCCCCTCCCCTTCTAGGTGGGTTGTTTTAGTTCCTATCACCAGTTCTTCACAAATCGGCTTTACCCCCCACAGCCTACAACCCTTGTTCTCCAAAACTCCTGTTGACCTCCGTCCCTTTCCCTTCCCACTTTCTCCCTAGACCCTCTGCTCCCCACAAAGTCCCCCAAACCATTCTGTCCCTCTCCCTCTGCTCCCCACCCACCCTCCCCCACAACTCCTGCTAAAACAGATGAATTTCACCAAAAAAGACCATCAGACCTTCCCCAAGCAGGCCCCCACTGTGCCTGATTGCACACCCCCAGGGGAGGCACCACAGTGGCTAAGCTGGAGAGCCAGAAATAAAATCCTCATTCTACTTCCCTGCCCCTTCTTCCCATCACTCATCTGGGAATCCAGGGCGAAGAAGGGAGCTAAAGTGCAGAGCATTCATTTAATATTAACAAATTGAAATGAATTCTTTTAATGCCAATTAACTTGGAGCGGCCCCTTATTAATAGTAATTTAGATTCATACTTGGGAGAAGCAGGGATGAGGGCTGGGCCAAATGTGCCCAGAATGTCAATGTGACTGGGGAACTGAAAGGGGAGGGGTGGCAGTTTTACTTCTGCCCAGTTGGGTTCTGTTTCCCTGAGAGAAATGGACAGTCACTGGAGGCGGATCTTTGGGAAACATAAATTACTCTTGTAAGTTTATTTTTGTTACTTCAAGGAATCTGAATAGTTTGACGCCATGTCACACCATTTTAAGAGTTTATTTTCACAGTAATGCTAAAAAGAAGAATTTCCTCAGAGCTGGGATTTACTTCAAACTCTCTCCTAAGCCAAACCTTACTGACCAAAGGGACAAGTCCCCAGGCCAGCTCTCTACCCTTCTTTGTTCAGAGCTAGAGCCAGAGATCAATATGGGCTTCCCCAGTCCCTGCCCCTTCTACCTTACCCAAAACTAAAAGGAAGAATCAACACTGTGTGTCTCTCTGAGAAGTCTCCCTCAGGAGATAAAAGACCCAAAGGGCTGACCCCTAAGCTAACAGCTTACATTTAAGGAAGAAAAACAATCTGCCTGCACTTTTCTTAGAATTTAGGGAAAAAATGAGAATTTAAAATTCAATTTCATGTATCAGAGTTCTCCAGAATACAGCCAAGTGGAAAGAACTTAGTCCCAAATGAAAAAGTTGAGCAGAAATTCTTCTCTCACTCGTTTTGCCGGCTTGGAGGTCAGACTGGAGGTGTCCTGAACTAGAACCAGAGCATAGGTTCTGACCCAAGAAGGACACTGTCTACTTCCCAGGCATCCCTCCTTGGCTGGGAGGAGAGGGGAGGATGAGTCCATTGGAAGCTGAGAATTGTGGAAGCTGGGGATGGGAGTTTTGAGATGGAGGAGGCAGGCGTGTGAAGGAGGTCAGGGAAAGGCAAGTAAATCTACTAATCATTGCAGTTTATAAAATAAAAACCTTAAAAATGGTTTAACATGCAAAAGGTTAAATTTTAAAAAGAGGCCAGGTTTTAAAGAAGGTAAAATACCTCAAATTTAGACATAATAAAAATGAGGAAAATACTCAAAACATTTCAAGCAAATTGTTCTTCAGAAGAGGAGAGGTTGGAATTAATCAAGAGACCTTTGTTACACACACATCCCCCAAGAGTTTCCCAAACAATAAATTCATTTACAAAACAAAATAGGAATCAACACAAAACCTCATCCACATACAGAGAAAAATAAATTGTGGTGATTCTGTAACAGCTGAAAAACTAGTGAGGGAGGAGAAAAATGAATAAACTCTAAATCCATTAGGTGATATTTATAAATAGCAAAATTGGAGGATGGAATGGAGAAAAGAGTTGAACTTATCATTAAAGAAGTAACACATGTGAAAACATAAGGTGTAACTCATCCCCAAAGAAAAGTAAACTCTCCATAAAGTAGCAAGTATAGAAATTTATTGAAAAGGAGGAAAGTACCACTCACCCCCCCAATATAAGCGTATTAATTTGAATTAAAATTTTCTCCAAATCCGAGATAGGTTACGCAAAAGAATACAAAAAGATTATTTTTCTTTCAACTAAGAGGAAAAACAAAATCCGATTTAAATTCACTAATGGGACAAGAAGGGAGGCTGTGGTTTGCAGGTGCTAGTAAACGGGATGAGGGTTGTGAAGAGTTTGAGGGGTAGAGGACCAGCTTACCTCGCTTTGGAGCCGCAGCGGCCAACAGGAGTGGGCAAAAGACCCTGCCAGTGCCTGAGTGATAGGGGAAATAAGGAATAGGGGATTCGGGTGCCCCTAGACGAATGAGGAGGATGGAAAGACTGGGGGTGCCCATCTCCCCTCCTCTGCCCGCCTCCCTCCCTCCGGTACCCAGGCCTAGAGAGCTACTGAAAGTTACAAATTGCTTCCATTATTAGCTCATCCCGGGCGGCCTGGTCATTGGCCAGCCCCTGGCCACGTGTTCCCTCGTACCAATCGATCGAATTTCTAGTCGCAATTCTCTGTCTGTCCCTCAGCTCTGGGGAGAAAGTGGGGGCTGTGGCGTGGGGGCTGAGGTCCAGTTTGGGGCGGGGTGGGAGAGGAGTCCTTGAGTATCCTGTCCCAGGGCCAAACCCCCAGGAGTCCAATCTTCAAGACATCCTTGAGCCGACTTCCGCCGATGGAGGGGGATCTTCAGGGTGCCTGCTGGGTTCTCAGGACTCCTCTTCAGATCCTAGTTTTGACCCCTCCGGGTTAGAAAAGATGGGCTCAGCACATCTGGTGAGGCAGGCAGGTCGTCGCTGCAGCACAGAATGATCCCATGGCCCTCAAGGCGTGGTGTCAGCTGAAAGTTCACTGATCTGTGAGCCCTCTGCCTCCCTCCTCCGTTGAAAGAGCAGTGGCGTGCCCCACTTCTAAAAGCCCTGGGGCTCCTGCAAGCGGACACCGCTTTCCAGGACAGGTGCAAACAGGGATGGTGCGAAGCCGAGGTGGAGACAATGCGATCACGCGTGGCACTGGCGTATCCCACAGCAGATGGTGTGAATGTGTGTCACCGGAGGCATATGGGGTGATGGCAAAACCAACAATGGTGTCCAGGCTGGAGTGCAATGGCGCAATCTCGGCTCACCACAACCTCCGCCTCCTGGGTTCAATTGATTCTCCTGCCTCAGCCTCCTGAGTAGCTGGCATTATAGGCATGTGCCACTGCATCCAGCTAATTTTGTATTTTTAGTAGACAAGGAGTTTTACCATGTTGGTTAGGGTGGTCTCAAACTCCCAACTGCAGATAATCCATCTGCCTCAGCCTCCCAAAGTGCTGGGATTACAGGCATGAACCACCGCACCCGGCCAAATTGCTGCAATCTTAATGGAAATAAATGGAATTAGATGGAAAAAAGTTCAGTCTGGGGCTCAGGATCGGCTCTCCCTTTACTACGACATTCACGTGCAGCGCACCAAGGAATCAGAGAATTCTACACTCGACTTTGACCTTGTGGGTTATTATGGCAATATATTTATCATAATATACTGTGAATATTTATCAAAGTAGGAGAATAGAACATATTTAACTATTTGTTAGCTTCATTTATAACTCATAATTATTTAGACGTAATGCAAATGTGGGCTGGAATTCATGTTCTGATTTTTTGTGGCCTTGAGCTAAGGAAAAGGGACCCAGGGAAATGGGCTTTATATGCTTGGATGGCTTCATGGAATCCCCAACTTCCTTAGCTTCTGTGACAACTCAAGATTGTTACTAAAATCCACTTTGTATTATCTTTAAAAACCAAGGGATATCATTTCTGCTTATATAATATATATTATAATACATATTATATTATGATAAAATATATAATATAATATAATTAATATAATAATATACAATATATAATATTATATAATATAATTAATATAATAATATACAATATATAATATTATATATTATTATATAATGTTATATAATATATAATTTATATTATATAATAATACATATATAACATATATAAAATACTATATTATTGTTGCTTGTTATGAATGAGGAAAGAAAGTGGTTTCTTGCGATGGAATCTACTCCTGGTGAAAATGCTGTGAACATTGTGGAAAGAACAACAAAGGACTTAGAATATCCCATAAACTTAGTTGATAAAAGAGTGGCAGGGTTTGAGAGAATTGGTTCCAATTTTGATATAAATTCTACTGTAGGTAGAATGCTACCAAACTGCATAGCATGCTACAGTGAAATCTTTTGTGAAAGGAAGAGTCAGTCAATGAAGTAAACTTCATTGTCATCTTATTTTAAGAAATTGCCACTCCCTCTCCAGCCCTCAGCAACCACCACCTTGATCAGTCACTAGCTATCAACATTGAGACAAGACCATCCAGCAGCAAAATGATGATGACTTACTGAAGGCCCAGATGATGGTTAGCAGTTTTTGGCAATCACGTATTTTCAAAGTAAGGTATATACATTATATTTTAGACATAATGCTATTGCACACTTAATTGACTACAGTAACTTAAACATAACTTTTTTTTTTGAGATGGAGTCTGGCTCTGTTGCCCAGGTTGGAGTGCAGTGGTGCAATCTTGGCTCATTGCAAACTCTGCCTCCCAGGTTCAAACAATTCTCCTGCCTCAGCCTCCTGAGTAGCTGGGACTACAGGTGCGCACCACCATTTTTGTATTTCCGGTAGACACAGGGTTTCGCCATGTTGGCCAGGCTGGTCTTGAACTTCTGACCTCAGGTGATGCACCCACCTCGGCCTCCCAGTGTGCTGGGATTACAGGCGTGAGCCACCATGCCTGGCAACATAACATTTATATGCACCAGAAAGCAAAAAATATCGTGTGACTTGCAAAAAATTTCGTGTGACTTGCGCTGTTGTGACATTCACCTTATTGTGTTACCTAGAACCAAACCTGCAATATCTCCAAGGTGTGCCTGTATCCCTAGAAGCAGAGCTGGAGTAAGGACTTCGGTGTGGGTGGTTTATTTGGAAAGTGATTCCAAGAAGCAAGAGTCAGAAGTGGGAAGAGTGAGCCAGGCAAGAAAGAAAAGCCAAAATAATGGCATGCTATTGAGGCTCCTGCCATGCAGTTTTTTCTGCAGGACCTTCCGAGAGGCTCCGGAAAGTTATCCAGAAATGCCCACCTGAAACATGAGCCTGGAGCATTTGTCCACCTGTCCCACACTGGTTGAGGTCTTCCCCTGAGGCTGTTAACCTGCAAGTGTTTCTGGGCTGTATTTGTGCTCAGGCAAAATCGTACAATAATGGAGATTCCCTAGGGCAGAAAGTGTACCTTGAGTTTGCTGGCAGCACAAGAGAAGCCTGTGCTTCCATGGAACTTCTCACGGTGTCTGAGACTGAATGAAAGGTGAGCTGAGAAAACATGACGCAGGCGCCATTGCACTAAGCAATCATAGCCATCGATCTGGGCAAGAGGACCCCTGCCCTGAATCCTGCACTTGAGAAGGTGCCTCTCTGGCCCTCCACTGACTGTACCCTGGCCCACTCAGAGCTTCACCCTCTCTTCTAGGGCACATGCTGGGCACTCAGGGACCTGGCAAAATGTGCCTGAGCCTGCATGGCCTCTTCCCTGGGTCCATTTCAAAGTGCAAACTGTGCTTGTCCAAATGGTGCCCAAGGATCTGCTTTCTGAAGGGGTGAGAATTGTGGATGGAGCTTGCATGGGGCCTAGGGAGTTCCCCACACAAGGGTATGCAAAGCTTCTCAAGTGAGGACAGGGCTACCTACGATGAAAGAAAAAAGTTTAGCCTGGGGCTGATGATCAGCTCTCCCTTTACTACCACATTCCTGTGCAGAGCACCAAGAAATCAGAGAATTCTACACTCAACTTTGACCTTGTGGGTTATTATGGCAGTATATTTATCGAAATAGGAGAATAGAACATATTTAACTATTTGTTAGCTTCATTTATAACTCATAATTATTTAGACATAATGCAAATGTGGGCTGGAATTTACGTTCTGATTTTTTGTGGCCTTGAGCTAAGGAAAAGGGACCCAAGGAAATGGGCTTTATATGCTTGGATGGCTTTGTGGAATCCCCAACTTCATTAGCTTCTGTGGTGACTCAAGATTGTTACTAAAATCCACTTTGTATTATCTTTAAAAACCAAGGAATATTATGTAGATCAGTAGTTAGAAGGTACTTGACTCAAAATATGTATGAACCAAAGGATATAAATGACTAAAAGCAGAAGGATTATTACCTGAAGTGGTGGAGGGTTGATCTCAGGATATGACCTGTGAGATCCTTCCTGCTGGCTCAGTGCTGGCTGAACGGGGGGTAGGAGAGCACCAGGAACAACACACATCTGGGACAGGAGGGAATCCGGGGAGGAAGGAAAGAGAAATAGGCCTTTTTATTTTTATTGATACATGACAATTATACATATTTGTAGGGTACATGTGATATTTTGATACATGCATACAATGTGTAGTGATCAAATCAGGATAATTTGCATATCCATCACCTCAAACATTTATCATTTATTTGTGTTGAGAACATTCCACATCTTTCCTCTACTCATTTTGAAATATATAAGTTATTGTTAATGATCATCACCCTACTGTGCTATTGAACACTAGAAATTTTTCTGTTCCTTCCATCTAACTGTATTTTTGTGTCCATTAACCAACTTCTGGGAAGGGCAAAAGAGTGGGTGGATGAAAAGGGCCCTTTTTAAGGAAAAGTAAATCTTACAAGAAGGGAAGACATCTTAGGAGGAAAAATAAAAAGGTGGACCATGGGCTTAGAGTAGGGACTGCAGAAATTGAATGGCAAAGAAAAAACCAACTTAGCAATGTGAAAATACATCTCAATGTCATTCTTTTCGCAGGTCCAGTGTCTGATTCTTTTGGGAAGCTGGATATGAAGTCAGAATCTTTCTTTGAGTCATACATTTTCATGATTATGATTATTATTGAATGATAGCTGATAATTAATTATTGAGAGCAATTATTGAGGACAATTATTGAGCTTTCATAAGCCCTTTTCAAAGGTCTTTACATATATTTTCTCCACTTCTAACTGTTAGATATTCTTATTATTCCCATTTTGTAGATGAGGGATACACAGGCATAAAGCCTATGTGGAGGCAGAGAGCAGCTACGTAACCTGACCATGGCCCAACAGCAAACAAATGATGGGGCCACATGCAAATCCAGGCAGAATCCTTCTATTATATGAAGCTCAATGTTTTCTTGTTTGCAGCTTGTTATGAATACATCTATTTGCAAATGGGTTTTGAAGCTACTTTAAAACATTTTGTGGCTGTGCGTGGTGGCTGGCACCTGTAATCCCAGCATTATGGGAGACCAAGGTGGGCAGATTGCCTGAGCTCAGGAGTTTGAGACCAACCTGGCCAACATGGTGAAACCCTGTGCCTACTAAAAATACAAAAAAATTAGCCAGGTGTGTTGGTGTGCACCTGTAATCCCAGCTACTCTGGAGGGTGAGGCAGGAGAATCACTTGAACCCAGGAGAGGAAGGTTGCAGTAAGCTGAGATCATGCCACTGAACTCCAGCCTGGGCAACAGAGTGAGATTCTGTCTCCAAATAAAAAATAAATAAGATTGAATTTTGAGCTCCTGACCATGTCCCTAGATTGTACTCATATGTATTTTGATGTCTAATAAGATTTATTCTCAGTGCATTTTTTAAGTGAAAGTATTTATTGAGCATCTACTGTATATCATGTGCTGAAATAGGCACCAGTGGTGCAGGGAACATATGGCACAGTGTCTGACCTCAGGTAACTTTCACTCTCATACATATGTATTAGGACACCAACACATGTGTGAATATAAGATAGTATGATAGATATTGCAACAAGTAATTATTTACTGTAAACCTATTTTATAGGATTTTAAACTTAAACTACTTTCACCCTATTTCCAAAAAAAAGTATTGCATAACTTTAAATAGATTCTCAGTTTGAAATCATCATACAAACTGCAGTAGCATCTGCTGGTGAAATACTGCTTTGTATCTATTAGAATAGTCCAAACAATTGGGAGACAACTGCATTATTAGAGCTGTAAAAGTTATTGTCTAGAAATCTCAGAGAAGAAGAGGAAGTTCTATGGTAGATGAATAAGATGACATCTAAACTGTTCTCTTCAGCTACTGAAGTTCTGTGGATATCTCACAGCACAAAGTTCAAGTGTATGCCCACAGCTCCTCATGCCACAAGATGTGACACCTTTCCAATCTCTTTTTGCAAAAGTTTCCAATTATGTCTCTTTTAAGAGTACTTTTTATACCCACATATTCCAGATTTTGTGGTGCACGCAAAGACAAGATGGGAAGGGGCTTCCATTTATTGATGCCAGCTGCTCCATGGACCAGGCCCTGCCCATGCATCCATGTTGGTTCTTTTATCCCCACATCAGCCATAGCCCATAAGCATTAACTGCCATTGCACAGATGAGGAAATTGAAAGTCTAAGAGAATATGCAATCTACCCAGAGTCATGCAGCTTGTGTATGTAAGGGTTGGAATGAAAATCCAATCTGTGTGAGTCCCAAGTCCCCTTCCACCATATGGTTTCCATTTCATTTTGCAATCAGATTGGCTGGGATATGTCTGCCCTAAAAGACAGTAAGTAGGAATATTTGTCTCTATACCTTAACCTGACATCCATGGGCTTGCTTTTTGTATTTGGAGGTGTCATAACATTATAATAATAATTTGATTTTATTTGTACAGTGGATATTATACTACTCAGTCTAGAGATTTATGACATCCCAGTCTAAACTGGATGATAGCAATGAAGCTTCTTCAAGGAGACAAGTATGAGTAATAAGGTAGTAATAAGCTGAATTTCTATGGAGTTGCTACTTCTGAATTAAAACTAGTTGAGATTAAGTAGATATTCAAAAATATTGCTATAATCTTCACTTGAATAATACAAACATTTATTATTTTTACATATTTATTTATTTATGGAACATAGATGTAATTTTAAAACAATATTTTCAAATTATATTAAAATATATTAAAAACATAATACATTATCACCCAATAGAGTTTTTCAAAGTAACTCAGTGTTAGTTTAAAATGTGAAATTCAATCAACATAATTCACCATAGAATACAGTGTGTATGTCAGTATAATATATATATCAAAATTGGAAAGCAGTAAATTTATCTTTGTTTTGTAATAAGATGAAATTAAAATTTTAATGAATTTCAACTTTCATTTTAGATTTCGGAGGGTACCTTTGCAGGTTTATTACATGGGTGTATTGTGTGATGCTGAGATTTGGGGTATGAATGAAAGTGTGAGTGCCTGTTTTGAACTTGCACCGAGAGCAATCTCCCCTGATCAGCAGAGGGTAAACTAACTTGAATTACACTTGAATTTTTTAGTAGAGCAGGTCACAAAGGGCAAATTGTAGTCCAGAGACAAAAGTGCTCAGTGGTCTAAAATGAGCCTGCCATATCACTGAGGGTACAGGTCTTCACAGAAATATATTTCAGAAAGACGTCAAACCCTTGTTTAAAGATAAATGTAAGCTGGGTGTGGAGGCACACGTCTATAATTCCAGCTACTCAGGAGGCTGAGGCAGGAGGATCCCTTGAGTTCAGGAGTTTAAGACCAGCCTGGACAACATAGGAAGATCCCATCTCAATTTTTTAAAATGAGAAAAAAATAGATAAACTTAAGCATATTAAAATTTTAAAGAGTTTATTTAAGCAAACAGAGATTCATGGATCAGGCAGCTCCAAACTGAAAGTGGTTGGAGGATCTACTGGAGGTGTTTGTAAGGAAGGCTTTTACAGGGTGAATATAGAAGTAAAGTAGAGAAATTATTTGATTGGCAAAAATGTGGGCAGTTGCATTATTTGAACTATCCTGGTGGTAGGTCTCTCATTACCCAGCTAATACTCAGCAGGCCACCTGTGGGTGGGCTAAGCTTATTTCATTTTGTCTATGCAGGAACCCTGGCCATGGGAGCTATCTCAGCCTAATGCTCTCCCATTACGAAATTTTACACCTTCTTTCTGTATCAGGGTAAGTGGGGATCTTCCCCAGGAGGGTTCTTACCACCCTGTTTCCCTCAGCAAAATGAAACTGTCCCTTTTGCCTCTGTAGGCAATCTTCTGAACAAGGCATTCCTAATATTCTTATCTCATCTTATTTTATCTTATCCTCTTCTCTGTACCTTGTTTACATGCTTCTGGAACACTTGTGTGTCTTGCACCCATCTCCTCCATTATTTAGGCAATCCTAACAGAAGGCCACTAGGATGGATTGGAAGAGAACTGCTGGCATATTGAGCCCTCTCTCTTTGTATCTGGAACTTTCATAATTACCTTAGTTCTCCATGCCAATTTTGCACTTATCTTTGTTCTCCACTTCAAAATACATTTACCTCTGACAGCAGCTGAGTTCATAAAAGGGAACTTGTCCAGTGGTACTTATGAGGCAGGAGACATGATATAGTTAAAATTATAAACTATAATCACTATATAGTTATATATTATATATAATCACTATATCACTCCAGGGTTGAAGTGATACTCCTGCCTCAGCCTCCTGAGTAGCTGGGATTACAGGCATGTGCCACCACACTCGAATAATCGTATATGTTTTAAAATAGGAATAGATTTTCTCAGCTAAACGGAAGGGAAATGCTAAGGAAAGAGTGAGATTTTACTTGATAATTATGTTTCTGAATGAATCAGCCAATTAATAAAATGAAAACAGGCCAGGACAGTGGTGCATGCCAGTCATCCCAGCAATTTGGGAGGCCAAGGTGGGCAGATCACTTGAGTCCAAGAGTTTGAGACAAGCCTGAGCAACATATCAAAACCCCGTCTCTACAAAAAATACAAAAATTAGCCAGGTGTGGTGGCTCATGCCTGTAGTCCCTGCTACTTGGGAGGCTGAGGTAGGAGGATCACCTGAGCCTGGAGATGTAGAGGCTGCAATGAGCTGTGTTCATGCCACTGCACTTCCAGCCTGGGTGACACAGTGAGACCCTGTCCCAAAGAAACTAAACTAAAATGAAATGAAAACAAACACAAGACAAAAATTGATGGACTTATTTTAACACTTAGCATGATGAACACACATAGATAACAATACTAACCCAATGGATTTTTGTCAGTCAAACTCATGGTCACTAGTCTAAAGAAAATAGGAATAATGACTGTGAATTAACAACCATTTACAACATTAGAAATACAAAATACAAATTATCGTCAGATATATCAGACTCACAATTATTTGACCTTTTAAGAATTCATCCTGCTCTCCATAATGAATAAGAAAATACTGATAACTCTTTTTTTCCCTTTACTTAATCCTTTGTGCTCCTGAATCTCTGAATTTGTGTTTACATCTTAACACTCTTTTTTGTAATTATTTTCTGCAGCTTTTTTCTCTTCACTTGAGGCATCTCCTATATTCTCTTTACACTTTTCCACAAATGACTCAATTTTTTTCGTAAGCTTCATTGATGAGTTCCATGTATGTGATGATAGTGTAATGATAAATTATCCATGTGGTTTCCCTCCAGTCTTGTTCATTATTCAAGTGACTCTCCTTGGTCTAGCAACAGGCTAGGAGGTAACTATGACATTTTGTTCAGGTTAAGCAGGAAGAAGAAAACAAAATCTACATTCTCTTTTTTATATTTTAGACACAAGCCAACAAATAATTTGGAAAGACCCATGATTAGACAGGGAGGATTTTATGCTCCTTCAAGAGTAATTGAGATTGTTTAATTGTATGGAGGAATGAGCATATCTCAAGGGGAATTGAGAAGGTATAATATTTGGATGACAGAATCATTAAGAACTGGCTTTGCACCCTGGCTACACCATTGCACATAGGAAATATTAGGGTGCAGGGGTGCATGCCTGTAATCCCAGCATTTTAGGAGGCTGAGGCAGGTGGATCACCTGAGGTCAGGAGTTCAAGACCAGCCTGACAAACGTGGTGAAACCCCATCTCTACTAAATACAAAAAAATTAGCTGGGTGTGGTGGCACATGCTTCTAATCCCAGCTACTTGGGAGGCTGAGGCAGGAGAATCACTTGAACTTGGGAGGTGGAGGTTGCAGTGAGCTGAGATAGTGTCATTGCACTCCAGCCTGGGCAACAAGAGCGAAATTCTGTCTCAAAAAAAAAAAAAAAAAAAAAAAAAATCACGGCCCCACCAACTTTTTCACATAGGATGATTAAGGATTCCAGAGCCCATGCTACCTCTAGGGGCTCCTACCCCTGCCACACCACACATATATCTTGACAGGGCCTGTTATAGAGAAGAAAAGGCCCAGTAAATTAATATCACAATCATTGCCACATACCCACCAAAAGACTCAGATTAAAATTTTGACGAAATTAAGTGTCAAGAAGAATGCGAAGATTTGGGAATTATCAGACATTGTAAGACTGTCAGTTGCTGTGTTAACATTGGGATGAAACCCATAATAACTGGTAAAACTGAAGATATGTTTACCCTGTAACCGTGATTTCACCTCTTGGTTTATACTGTACATAAATACACACTAATGGTAACCAAATAGAAATACAAACATGTTCACAACAGCATCATTTGTAACTGATGAAAATGAACACAACCCACATGTCCACCAACAATGAAGGGATACACACTGGTGTACTGTAGTTTTATTTATTTTTATTTTTTTATTTATTTTGTGTATATAAATATAAATTTATATATATTTTTTGAGACAGAGTCTTGCTTAGTCGCCCAGGTCGGAGTGCAGTGGTGCGATCTCGGCTCACTGCAACCTCCGCCCCCTGGGTTCAAGCAATTATCCTGTCTCAGCCTCCCCAGTAGGTGGGATTACAGGCATGTGCCGCCACTCCTGGTAAATTGTTGTATTTCTGGTAGAGATGGGGTTTCACCTTGTTGGTAAGGCTGGTCTGAAACTCCTGTTCTGAGGTGATCCACCTATCTCGGACTCCCAAAGTGCTGGGATTACAGGTGGCAGGCACTGCGCTTGGGCTTTTTTTTTTTTTTTTTTTTTTTTTTGAGACTATCACTCTATTGCCCAGGTTGGAGTACAGGGCGTGATCTTGGCTCACTGCGACCTCCATCACCTCCCAGGTTCAACTGATTCTCCTGCCTTAGCCTCTCAAATAATTGGGATTACAGGCACACACCACCACACCTGGCTAATTTTTTTTTTTAACAGAGTCTAATTCTGTCACCCAGGATGGAGTGCAGTGGTGAAAACTTGGCTCACTGCAACCTCTGCCTCCCAGATTCAAGTGATTCTCCAGCCTCAGCCTCCTGAGTAGCTGAGACTACAGGCATGTGCCACCACACTTGGCTAATTTTTTCTATTTTTAGTAGAGATGTGGTTTCACTGTGTTTGCCAGGATTGTCTCCATCTCCTGACCTTGTGATCCACCTGCCTTGGCCTCCCAAAGTGCTGAGATTACAGTCATTAGCCACCACGTGGCCTAATTTTTGTAGTTTTAATAGAGATGGAGTTTCACCATGTTGGCTAGGGTGGTCTGGAACTCCTGACCTCAAGTGATCTGCCTGCCTCGGCCTCCCAAAGTGCTGGGATTATAGGTGTGAGCCATCATGCCTGGCTGGTGTACTGTTTTAATAGAATGCAGAAACAATGCTAAGTGTGAATCTTAAATACTTAATATTGAGTAAAAGGTGCCAGATGCACCAGGATACAGACTTTTACTCCAATTATGTAAGAGAAAAACCAGGCAAAATCAGACTTTACTTTAGGCATATAAAAAATGCATAATAAGGCCAGGCATTGAGCTCAGGAGTTCTAAACCAGCCTGACCAACATGCAAAACCCCATCTCTACTACAAATACAAAAATTATCCAGGCATGGAGGCACATGGCCCATGCCTGTAATCCCAGCTACTTGGGACGTTGAGTCATGAGAATCGCTTGAATCTGGGAGGCGGAGGTTGCAGTGAGTCAAGATCATGCCACTACACTCCAGCCTGGGCAACAGAGTAAGGCTCCATCTCCAAAACAGAAAAAAATATATAAAATACATAATAAAATTATAAAGAGAACCAAGGAGAGGATGGCAGATATCCACAGGTAATGTGGATATCTGTTATATCTGTTACTAAAAAGGGGAAGGAAGACTTTAGGATCAGTTAGGGGCATACAGAGGACTTCTTGGTGGTGATAGTGCTCTATTTCTTCACCTGGATAGATATCACACAGACGTTTATTTAATAATTGATGTATCCATACCTTTGTTTGCATATTTTAAAATAAGAATGAAATAGAGGAAAGGAAGGTGAATGGAAAGAGATTTCTCCATTCATCAAAATTTTAAAGTCATGTTTTTCCTCAGGTTCTTCTCCAAGCTCAGTCTGAAATGATGAAAGCAGCCAAGCATGGTGGCTCACGCCTGTAATCTCAGCATTTTGGGAGGCTGAGGCAGATGGATCACCTGCGGTCAGGAGCTAAGACCAGCCTGGCCAACATGCTAAAACCTCATCTCTACTAAAAATACAAAAATTAGCTAGGCGTGGTGGTGGGCACCTATAATCCCAGCTACTCGGGAGGCTACAGTGAGCTGAGATCACACCACTTGACTCAAAAGAGTGAAACTCTGTCTCAAAACAAAACAGCAACAACAATGACAAGGGAAACAGGAAAACATCCTCAATAATAGAGGACTTACCAAATTGGGTGCAGCCACTCATACTGTGTCTTGATTTGTAGATAAAGAAAATGATGACCCTCCCTAGGTACTGATTTAGAGTGACATTTCTGTGAAAATAGAGAAATACTTACATATCCATAGAACACATATATGCATTTAAAATCGTATATGAGCATGACATATACATACATATTTGTGTGCATGACACCTGCATCCTTGTATGTTTAAATACGATCTGGCAATTGCATTCTTTGGTATATACCCAAATATTTGAAAACTTATATCCACTCAAATCCTGCACATGAATGTTATAGCAGCTTATACACAACTGACAAAGATTGGAAGTAACCAAGATATCCTGCAATAGAGAAGTGGATAAACTAACTCTGAAACATTCATACAATGGAATATTCTTCAGGAATAAAAAGAGATGAACTACCAAGGCATGAAAAGACATGGAGGAATCTTAAACATGTATTTCTAAGTGAAAGAAGCCAATACAAAAAGGCCACATAGTATAGAGTTCCAATTATATGGAATACTAGAAAAGGGAAAACTAGGCAGATGGAATTATAAAAAGTTCAGTGGTTGCCAGAGGCTTGAGCAGAGGGAAGGATGAATAGGTGGAGCACAGAAGATTTTTAGGGCAGTGAAACTTTTCTGTGTGACCCTATAATTGTGGATATATGTTCTTAAGCATTTGTCAAAGCCCATAAATGGTAGAACACAGAGAGTGAATCTTAATATTAGCCATGAACTTAATAATATCAATATTGGCTCATCAAGCATAACAAATTACCACACTAACAAGATGATAATAGAGGAAGTGTGTGTACTATGGTGTGAGGTGGATATTAGAGCTCAATATACCTTCTGCTCTATTTTTGTGTATACCTACAACTGTTCTAAAAATTAAGTCAGTTATTTATTATTTATTTATTTATTTATTTATTTTTATTGAGATGGAGTCTCACTCTGTCACCCAGGCTGGAGTGCAATGGCCCGATCTCGGCTCATGGCAACCTCCGCCTCCCAGGTTCAAGCGATTCTCCTGCCTCAGCCTCCTGAGTAGTTGGGATTACAGGCACCAGCCACCACGCCTGGCTAATTTTTTGTATTTTTAGTTGAGACGGGGATTCACTGTGTCAGCCAGGATGGTCTTGATCTGCTGACCTCATGATCCACCTGCCTTGGCCTTCCAAAGTGCTTGGATTACAGGCATGAGCCACTGCGCCTGGCCTTATTTATCTTTTTGAGACAGGGTTTAGCTCTGTCACTCAGGCTGGAGTGCAGTGGTGCAATCATGGCTCAATGCAGCCCCAACCTCCAGGGCTCAAGTAACCCTCCCACCTCAGCCTTCTGAGTAGCTGGGACCACAGGCATGTGCCACCATGCCCAGCACATTTCTTAGACCTCTGAAAAGATGCTCAACACCATATGTCACTAGGGGATTCAAATTAAAACAACGATGTGATACCATTACACATCTCTTAGACTGGCTTGAATGCAAACACCAACACCAAATGCTGGTGAAGATACGGAGCGACAGGAACTCATCTCTATTTCTGCTGAGAATGCAAAGTGGGACAGCCACTGTGGAAGGCAGTTTTGCAAGTTCCTGCCAGACTAAACATACGCTTACCATACGATCCGGCAAAAAAATGAAATTTTAAAAATATATTTTATATACTTGAAACATATACATTTAAATAAATATATATTTTATATATATTTTAAAATAATATATATTTTTATTTTTTGTAGAGACAGTCTCTACAGACCATAGCCTGCAGATTCTATTAATTTTAAAAGCATTTTAAACTCTTGAACAAGAAATTATTTGAAGAGTGAAAAATAAAATGATAGAGTATTGATTGGTAAATTCCAAATGTTATATATTACATAATCTGGATTAATTTTAAATTCCAAAAAGTGCAACTTTAAAAAATATTTTAAAAATTTCCTAATCTGAGGTCAATACTAGTTCAACACATTACATTCAAGAGCTGATTTCAGAGGAGACATAAGGTCAACAAGTTCTTAGGTTTTGACTTTGTTTTCTGACTATCTGTGTTTGTGAATGGTGAATTTTTAGATTTTGTTCCTTTCTTCTTAGGGTATTGACTAATATTTTATTAAGCCGGAGAGACAGTAAATTAGAATTATCTGTTTGTCCATTTTATCTGTTATAAGTATTTCCTCCAAATTCACTTATCTAAAGTTTTTGGTTTATTTAGTCAGGTGCAGTGGCTCAGCCTGTAATCTCAGCACTTTTGGAGGCTGAGGTGGGGGATCGCTTGAGTTCGGGGGTTCAAGATCAGCCTGGCCAACATGGCAAAACCCAGTGCCTACTACCATACAAAAATTATTTGGGTGGTGGGTGTTTTGGCTCACTCCTATAATCCTAGCACTTTGAGAGGCCAAGGTGGGCAGATCACCTGAGGTCGGGAGTAAAGAAACAGAGAGTAAAGATTTTCTGAAACCAAAAAGTCTGAGAACAGCTGCTCAATATATTCATTCAACAACTATTTGTCTCCTTACCATGTGCATGGTACAGTTCTAGGCTCTAGGGATAAATAGCATTGAACAAAATTGACAATATCTCCTGCTCTCATCAAGTTTACATTCTAGTGGACATAATGTAAGAACAGAGATGATTTGTCAAAAAGCAGTCCGGGCACAGTGGCTCATGCCTGTAATCCCAACACTTTGGGAGGCCGAGGCAGGGAGATCACTTGAGGTCAGGGGTTCGAGATCAGCCTGGCCAATATGGTGAAAACCTGCCTCCACTAAACATACAAAAATTAGCCAGGGCTGGGTGTGGTGGCTCACCCCTGTAATCCCAACACTTTGGGAGTCCGAGGTGGTTTGGATCACCTGAGGTAAGGAGTTCAAGACCAGCCTGGCCAACATGGTGAAGCCCCGTCTCTACTAAAACACACACACACAAAAAAAAATGTTAGCCAGGCATGGTGGCAGATGCCTGTAATCCCAGCTACTTGGGAGGCTGAGGCAGGAGAATCACTTGAACCTGGGGGGCGGAGGTTGCAGTGAGCCAAGATCACACCAATGCACTCCAGCCTGGGTGACAGAGCGAGACTCCATCTCAAAAAAAAAAAAAAAAAGTTTTAAGTGCTATGGAAAAAAAAGGGAAGTGGTAAATAGTTTCAATTTCAGATAGGATGATCTCTGACAAGGCAAGAATCATGTTAAGACATGAAGAAAATTAATACAATGATCCTTACAGGTATATGGAGGGAGAGCTTCTTTTCTTTCCTTTTCTGTTTTATTTATTTATTTATTTATTTATTTATTTATTTATTTTTTAGACAGAGTTTCACCGTTTTGCCCAGGCTGCAGTGCAATGGCACCATCTCAGCTCATTGCAACCCCCATCTCCCGGGTTCAAGTGATTCTCCTGCCTCAGCTACTCCCCCAAGTGAAAGGTGACCAAGAGAGCCATTGAAAATAGTGAGAGTGGCCGGGTGCGGTCCCAGCACTTTGGGAGGCCAAGATGGGTGGATCATGAGGTCAGGCATTCGAGACCAACCTGGCTGAGAGGGTGAAACCCCGTCTCTACTAAAAATACAAAAATTAGCCAGGCGTGGTGGCGTGCCCCTGTAATCCCAGCTACTCCGGAGGCTGAGGCAGGAGAATCACTTGAATCTGGGAGGTAGAGGTTGCAGTGAGCCCAGATCATGCCACTGCACTCTAGCCTGGGTGACAGAGCAATATTCTGTCTAAAAAAAAAAAAAAAAAAGAAAAGAAAAGGAAAGAAAAAGAAAATGGTGAGAGCACCATGTTTGAAAAGTGGTCCAGGCACTGGGGTAAGGGGTGAGTGTCAGCCAAGTCATCAGCTATCAGAACAGGAAGCCATCAGGTAATATATCAAGTTGATATATTGAGAAGGAGCAGGATCTACCTATTATATAATATAGAGATAAGCACTCAGATATATAGATTAGAAATAGTTTAGAAAATTTAGACATTTGATTATTCGGGAAGTAGATCTGGGAGTATTGGAGAAACAGGGTGGGGGAGTAGACTGCATGGAAAGCTCTTTCTTAGTTTGTGATTTTTCATTTATGCACATAGGTTTCTTACATAACATGGAAAATTCAATTAAAGAAGAAACAACATTGTGTTCTGAGGTCCCAAAGGTGTAGTGATTAATTAGAAAGACTCACAAAATCGAGTGAAGCTGTTTTACTCATAGTTTATTACAACGAAAAGATACAGATTAAAATCAGCAGCAGAAAAAGGTGCACAGGGCAGAGTCCAGGAGAGACAAAGCACAAGCTTCCAGTTGTCCTCTCCCAGTGACATCGTGTGGACAGTGCTTAATTCACCCAGCGATATTTGGCAAACAGTATAGAATATACTCCCCAACAAAAAGCTTACCTGAGCCTTGGTGTTGAGCATTTTACTGGAGGTTGGTCACATGGACAAGAGCACCCATTTGGATGACATTAGTTTCTCCGTCTCCACCCTTCCCAAGGTCAAGCTGAGACTGCATGGTCCAAGGTCCCCATAATAAATCACGTTGTTAACTCCCAGATAGGCAGGAGAGTCCGAGGACTTAGAGGTTATTTCCTGGGAACTAGGATAGAGTCACACCATTCTTTGGAGTATGCCAGGTTTGGGCAATTCAGGCCTACTAAGTTTCCTTGACTGCACACAAGTGATAGTATGTAGGAAATGAGTAGTTGCATATATTGCTGGTGAAAATACAGTGTTATATAACCCTTTGGAAAGAAATCAAGTGTGTAGCACATAAACATTATATTTGGTTTGTTTTTGTTTTTGTCTGAGACAGGGTCTCACTCTGTCACCCACACTGGGGTGCAATGGCATGATCACAACTCACTGCAGCCTCGACCTCCCAGGTTCCAGCTATCCTCCCACCTCAGTCTCCTGAGTAGCTGGGACCACAGGCACCTGCAAGTACACCCAGCTAATTTTTGTGTTTTTTGTACAGATAGGGTTTCACCATGTTGCCCAGGCTGATTTCAAACTCCTGGGTTCAAACAATCCCCTACCTCAGCTCCCCAAAGTGCTAGGATTACAGGAGTGAGAGCCACTGCACCCAACCTATATTTGTATATACATTAAATTGTATATGTTAGACTGGGCACGGTGGCTCACACCTGTAATTCCAGCATTTTGGGAGGCCAAGGTGGGTGGATCACTTGAGGTCAGGAGTTCGAGAGCAGCCTGGCCAACATGGTAAAAACCCATCTCCACTAAAAAAACAAAGTTAGCTGGACATGGTGGCAGATGCCTGTATTCCCAGCTACTCAGGAGGCTGAGGCAGGAGAACCAAGCAGTGGAAGTTGCAGTGAGCCGAGATCATGACACTGCACTCCAGCCTGGATGAGAGAGCAAAACTCTATCTCAAAAAACAAAACAAAAAAATTGTATATGTTATTGTATGTATGTGTATATATTAAGTTGTATATACCCATATTAAATATATATACATATATTACACTTTACACACATACACTTGTTTCCTCATGCAATTTGTTTCAGCAGAAGTAAAAACTAACAAAGTTATAAGTAAAAGAATATTTACAGAAGCACTATTTTTGGTGGCAAAAGTACTTTAATATCTTAAATGCTCATATAATGAAAGATACTTTAACTCTTACAAAGAATGTGTCAGCACTTTATCTACTATAAAGGTATCCTAATATCTTTATACCTAAAGTGATATATGTGGCCAATTTTTATATTAAAAAAGGAGAATGCTTTATAATTAAAGAAAAAAGAAAGAAACGTTATATAATAGCCCTCCCTTATCTGCAGGAGATGTGTTTAAGACCCGCAGTGGATGCCTGAAACTTGGGTAGCATTGACCCAATTGCTTTCAATCAGAACACATTTCTGTTTGATTTCCACTCACAAATTTAATGCCTTTTTCATCTTAACTAAGCACTTATCACACATATGGCTGTACTTTTTAGAGCTTGGGGTGCAACAAACAAGACTAACAGAAATTTCTTTTTCCTTCTTACATTTTCACCGCTAGAGGATTTGTTCTTACCATCGATCTTAGCAACCTGAGCACACGACTTCTCTCTTTTTCTTTCTTTCTTCCTTTCTTTCTCTTTCTTTCTTTCTTTCTTTCTTTCTTCTTTCTTTCTTCTTTCTTTCTTTCTTTATCTTTCTTTCATTTTTCTTTTTTTCTCTTTATTTTATGTATTTACTTATTTATTGAGATGGAATCTCAGTCTGTCATCCAGGTTGGAGGGCAGTAATGCGATATTGGCTCACTGCAAACTTCTCCTCCCGGGTTCAAGAGATTCTCGTGCCTCCGCCTCCCAAGTAGCTGGGATTAAGGCCCTCACCACCGTGCCCAAATAATTTTTGTATTTTTTGTAGTGATGGGGTTTCACCACGTTGGCCAGGTTAGTCTCGAACTCCTAACCTCAAAAGATCCACCCGCTTCAGTCTCCCAAAGTGCTGGGGTTACAGGCATGAGCCACCACGCCTGGCCTGTATATTCTGTTGTTTGCTGGCCAATACTTACATGAATCTTGGAGAACATCATGGAAAGTTGCTCATCATCTTGTTAACTGGTTATTTCAAGAGTGGAACTGGAGGGGGAATACTGCCTTTCCTGTGTATTTATTTGTAATGTTTCATTTTCATTATGAACATGTATTATTTTAATATGTTTAAATATTAATAAAGACAGGTAAATATATGTAATTTTAATTCAAGCTGAAATCCTCAAGGCAATCACATATAATTAAATAGATGGAGGAAAGAAAACATTTAAAATCCCTGAAGGAAAAGGAGGGAAGTCCGGGCAAGGAGGCTCATGTCTATGTCAGCATTTTGGGAGACCAAAGCAGGCGGATCATTTGGGGTCAGAAGTTCGAGACCAGTTTAGCCAACATGGTGAAACCCTGTCTCTACTGAAAATACAAAAATTAGCCAGGCATGATGGCATGCGCCTGTAATCCCAGCTACTTGGAAGGTTGAGGTGGGAGAATCGCTTGAACCTGGGAGGCAGAGGTTGCAATGAACCGAGATTGTGACACTGTGGTTCAGTCTGGGTGACACAGCAAGACTCTGTGTCAATCAATCAATAAAAGGAGGGGGAAAAACACAAGTAAAAAATAAGTGATTCAAAAGTAGCAATTCACCATAATGCCTAAATTTGTGGGATTGGCGGGGTGTGATGGCTCCCGCCTGTAATCCCAGCACTTTGAGAGGCCAAGGTGGGTCGATCACCTGGTCAGGAGTTCGAGACCAGCCTGACCAATATTGTGAAACCCTGCCTCTACTAAAAATAAAAAATTTAGCAAGGTGTGGTGGCGGACACCTGTAGTCCCAACTACTAGGGAGGCTGAAACAGGAGAATCACTTGAACCTGGGAATCAGAGGTTGCAGTGAGCTGAGATTGCCACACTGCACTCCAGCCTGGGTGACAGAGCGAGACTCCCTTCAAATAAATAAATAAATAAATAAATAAATAAAAACACTTTGTGGGACCAATTCCAATTGAGTCCAGGGGAGCACACACTGGCAACAAACATCCTCCATCAGGTCCCTTCAGGGTCGAGAGAGTGCATCTGGAACAGACTGGGAAACTCCAGCAGGCAAAGTAAGGTGTCAGGAATAGACACCACCTGACACATTCTCCATGTTCCCTCCACCCACCCCTCTCCCCACCAGTCTTCCATCGGGCTCCAATTCTGCACTCTCCCCAATAACCTCAGATTGAAACATTGCAAGGAAGACACCGATACTCAAAGTCACAGGCTTAGGAATCTGAGCTACAAAGAAAAATGAGTCCCTGCTCCCCCAACTGCATGGTACTCCCCTCAGCACTGCTGCCCTGCACCTGCCCCCTCCTCCATAATTTGAACTGTCCTCACAGAAGCTGGAGAGATGGCCCGCCTGTCAGGAAAGAGAGGACCAGCATGTGGCAAATGCCTGGGGTATGTAGGAGCAGATGGTGAGATTAGCACAAGGATGTAAGAAACAAGTGGCTCTCAGACCAAAGAAGACTCTGCGGGAGACAGAACATTAAGCCTTCATAGAGGCGTGCGCTGGACAGCAGCTCCCCAGTTACCGAAACAATTATCTGAGAAAGGCTCTGAGCTGACCCGAAACGCCCTTGGATCCCATGGCAACGCCTCAGCGTCTGGCAGTAATAGGCTTCTGTACCCAGAATCTCTAGGTCTGGAGGTCCCAACTCCACCAGCCTCTCACAGCCCAGAGGTACCTCCCATTGGCGCCTGATGGGTTTGGGAGGCTGTTCTTCCAGCTGTGACAGATCCAGCCTAGGAGCGCTCCTGGGTCTTCTCAGTTGTTTCTTCCCGCACACCTGCCACTCGAAGCCACAACCCACTTGCACGCCACCTTGAGGACACCTTAAAATGACCGTCTAGATCTGAACCTCGCTGAGGGAATGGTCAGTTTTACTCCCATTAGATGGCTTGGCCCAAAGGACCTAGCAACCACCCAGACAAAAATTTCTTCCTAAAAGCTGCATGTGTCTGTGGTCTCTAAGAGGCAAAACTAAACCCTAAAGAAAAAGCTAACCCACCCCCACCTCCACTGCAAAACAAAAACAAAAACAAAACCCACCACCAACCCACCCTTCATGTGAGGAGTCCTTGAGAAGGGCCTCCCCAGCCAGGACAAGGCAAGGGAATCTGTGCACTTGGCCAGACCCAGAACACACAGTGTCAGGGACCTGACAGTCACACTCTGACCCCATAGAATTTCCACCACTGACACACAGATCAGGATGTGTCAGCCTGAGAGATGACTCCACAAATCTGGCTTTCACATATTGATTCCACACACATCCCATCACTGACACCAGATTCCCTCATCACTGACCCTAAATACCCACAATCATTGATTCCATGGACCTCATCACTATCCCAAAGACCACCCATCACTAATCTACAGATCGTCATCTCTCACCTCAGGGACCTCACAGATTCCCCATCCCTGATTCCAGGATCTATAGAACTTCATCTCTTACCCCCACAGACCTATTAATAAAAGGATACATTCATAGGAGACTGTGTTGACCCTTTTACACACCCATTGCCTGTGTGTGCCGATTAATGGACTTAGGTAAACTTTAGCGTTTTGGTAGGCAACGCAATTTTTCAATGCCTTTTCTTTCTTTTTCTTGTACATCTTTAAAGGCCTTACTCCAGTAAGTGTGCATTGCAGTTTATTAATGCCTATCCCTTAATGAGTCCTTGTCATGCATTTTTGTTATTAATCATAATTCACAATTCTTATAATTCAGAGACACCAGAGATTCACATAAGAAGAATGGCATTGAGTTTTTATTTATTTATTTGTTTTTTTCTGTAGATTATCAAATTCATTCATTTGTATCAAGTCACTAAGTGTATACTTTGTTTTCTAAAAAAAAAATTCCAATAATTTTTTTTTTAAGACAGGCTATCGCTCTGTCACCCAGACTGGAGTGCAGTGGTATAATCATGGCCACTGTAACCTCAGCCTCCTGGGCTCAAGTGATCCTCCCTCAGCCTATGTAGTAAGCTGAGACCACAGGCATGCACCAATATGCCCACCTAATTAAAATTTTTTTTGTAGATATGTGTGTCTCACTATGTTGCAGAGACTGGTCTTGAACTCCTGGGCTCAACTCATTCTCCCACCTTGGCCTCCCAAAGTGTTGAGATTACAGGTGTGAGCCACTGTACTCAGCTGATAAAATCTTAAAAAGAGGAAAATACTTTGGGGCCTAATGTAAAATTTCCACTGAGATGATGCGTCAGAAATTAAGGTAGAATAAGATGGCCCTAGGGCATCAAAACAACAGAAACTAAATCTTGGGCTGGGTGCGGTGGCTCACGCCTGTAATCCCAGCAATTTTGGGAACCAAGGTGGGGGACTCACTTGAGGTCAGAAGTTTGAGACCAGTCTAGCCACCATGGTGAAACGCTGTCTCTACTAAAAATACAAAAATTATCCTGGAGGTTGCACTGAGCCAAGATTGTGCCAATGCACTCCAGTCTGGACAACAGAGGGAGATTCTGTCTCAAAAAAAAAAAAAATAGAAGAAGAAGAAACAAAATCTTAATTTCTTCATCAAATGTAAAAACTATGGACTGTACTCTGGAGGAATAATACACAAAAAGACACATAGGCGCTTTTTTTTTGAAGTTTTATTGAGAAATATTGATAACATACCACAGAAGCCACTGATTTAAAGTGTAAAATTCAATGTTTTTCAGTATATTTGCACTGTTATGCAAACATCACCACAATAAATTTTAGATCATTTTCATTACCCTGAAGTAAACACCATATCCCTCCATTTCCCCCCAACTCCCCTAACCCTGGGCCACCACAAATCTACTTTCTGCTTCTATGTATTGGTCTATTTTGGACATTTTATTTAAATGGAATTACATAACATGTGGTCCTTTGTGACCGGCTTCTTTCACTTAGCATAATATTTTCAAGGTTTATTCAATCTTGCATGTGCAAAGGGGGCACTTTACATAAGGATAAACCTGGGATGGGGGGTACTTACTGATTGATTTGGAAACTTCCCTCCAAAATTGTAAAGGGTTTCAAATAGAGGAAAAACCTATTCAGGCTAAAATCCTGTTTTCAGCAGTTTGTAATGTGGGGTTTTATTGCAAAGAATGGCAAGATTTTTAGGCTTATTTTCTGAAAATTCTCCCTGTGTTTGGGGAACAGTCACAGAATGTGGAGGAATGGGCTTCTAGGCTCTGTGGCTGGAGATTCGCGTCCAGGAGAACTCAGGTCCGAGGGTAGGCAGAGAAAAACAGTGTAAGAGTGCCAACAGAATGCTTTGAAATGGAAAATTTTAAATGTTCCCTCCAAAAGGAGTCCCAGATAACCACACAAAAGAGGACTTTGCTGGGCAGGTCCATTGCAATTGTTCAATAACAAGACACAGACAGACTGGGAAAGAAGGAAGTTTATTTCTGCAGCCACTTACAGGGAGAAGCGCCAGGTAATTCACCAGATCAACTCAAAGTTACAAGTTTTTTTTTTCTAGTGCTTATATACGTCTTAAGCTCCACGTGGGATTGCACCTACAAGTAGGAGTGTTTCATTCAATCAACATCTTATCTTTAACTCGGGTCTAGCGTCTGGAAAGATTTCTCTAGAGTCTTGGAAAGTTTCTGAATCTTAAGACAGGCCGAGGTGAATGTGTACCAATGCTATCATTATTCGATCAGACTTTAGGGTCTGAGAAAACCCAGGTGGGGTCTCAATGGGTTTGTTTTCACATTCCATCCCTGATACTCAGGCACAAGTTTCTCCGTTTCTTTAACGTTAACTTATGCATTCATCAAAATTATAGTAAAGGGTTAGTAGAAACTGTTCTGGTTGCTATTGGAAACCTGGCCTGCCACACTGCCATAGGAACTGAAGCCCACTACAGAACATTGAAAATGCCTGCAAACACTGACTTTACTGACCAGTCAATTAAATTGCAGAAAAGCAAGCTCACGCTGCCTCCCTGATCCTCCAGAATTGCTAGTTAGAAACGTGCACATTGTCCTAGGTTCAGTTTTGCAAAGATGGAGCCTGGCAGTGAAAGCATTTGTTTGAGTTCATGCATTAAGGTTTGCTTTGTCTATTTCTTTTATATTTATTTATTTGTTTTTTTTTTTTTTTTTTTTTTTTTGAGACAGAGTTTCAATCCTCTTGCCCAAGCTGGAGTGCAATGTGGCGGTCGCCGCTCACTGCAACTTCCGCCTCCTGTGTTGAAACGGTTCTCATGCCTCAGCCTCCCAAGTAGCTAGGATTACAGGCATGCTCCACCATGCCCGGCTAATTTTTGCATTTTTAGTAGAGATGGGGTTTCACCATGTAGGCCAGGATGGCCTTGAAATCTTGAGCTCAGGCAATCCACCCGCCTCAGCATCCAAAGTGCTGTGATTACAGGCATGAGCACCCTCAGCCGGCCTATTTTATTTTAAGATGGAGTCTCGCTCTGTCGCCCAGGCTGGAGCGCAGTGGCACGAGCTCGGCTCACTGCAACCTCTGCCTCTGGGATTCAAGCGATTCTTGTGCCTCCGCCTTACAAATAGCTGGGATTACACGCGCCCACCACCATGCCTGGTTAATTGTTTATTTATAGTAGAGACAGGGTTTCACCATGTTGACCAGACTGGTCTCGAACTTCTGACCTCAAGTGATCCGCCCGCCTCGGCCACTAAAAGTGCTGGAATTACAGGCGTGAGCCACCATGCCCGGCCCCATTTCCTTTATTTTATTTATTATTTCGAGAAGGAGTTTCGCTCTTGCCATCCAGGCTGGAGTGCAGTGGTGCGATCTCGGCTCACTGCAACCTTCACCTCCTGGGTTCAAGCGATTCTCCTGCATCAGCCTCCGGAGTAGCTGGGATTACAGGCGCATGCCACCACGCCCAGCTACATTTCCTTTATTTTATTTTTTATAATTTACTAGCCTGTTTGTTGATAACAAGACTGGCAGTGCACAAGTTTGTGTCTCGGTGCTCACCGGGAGGCGGGCATGGACCAGGTGGGAGGGTCTCCAGCACCTGGTACAACTCTCCAAGAAAGTGCAGGAAACGGCACTAAGGGTGGTAGTAAAGTTTTGGTTTGGCGAGGCGCGTAGGCGTTCCAGCGCAGAAATGCGCAGGAAAGGTTTTGCTGTGCTTGTAGGGAGGTCATCCCCAAGCTCTTCTTATTGGCTTTCAGTGAGACGAGGTCGCGCACTGCACTCCAGCCCGGGCTACAGAGTGAGACTCTGTATCCAAAAAAAAAAAAAAAAAATAGTGAATGAATATCTATTGATGCATGAAGTGGCTGCATTAAAGGAAAACTAGCCAAGAAAATACAAGGCAAAAAAAAGTCAAGGATCAGTATGAAAAATAAATATATTTTAAAAGATTTGTTTTTAAAGCAACAACACGGGTTTAAATTTTAAAGTGAAAGAAGTAGCTCCAAGATAGAGGAAACAGGATGGCTTCTGAAGAAGGGAATGTTATTCTTTGAAATGGAAAGAAATTATGACAAGAGGGTAGCACAGACTGAAGAGGTGGAGGTAAAAGGGGGTTCTCGGCCAGACACAGTGGCTCACACCTGTAATACCAGCACTTTCGGAGGCCAAGGCAGGTGGATCACCTGACGTCAGGAGTTCAAGGCCAGCCTAGCCAACATGGTGAAATGCCGTCTCTACTAAAAATACAAAAATTAGCTGGGCATGGTGGCAGGTGCCTATAATGCCAGTTCCTTTAGAGGCTGAGGCAGGAGAATCGCTTCAACCTGGGTGCGGAGGTTGCAGTGAGCCAAAATCGCATCACTGTTCTCCAGCCTGGGTGACTGAGCAAGACTCTCTCTCAAATTAAAAAAATTTTTTAAAAAAGAGTGTGTTTGTGGGTGGGGGGGTGGTATCTTGACTTTTCTCCATGTGTCTTAGGCCACAACTCTTACATGGGACCTTGCAGAAGAGATTCCCCAACCAATACCTTTACGGCGCTGCCTCCCTGATGGGCTGGGTTCTAAACAGCAGTGCCTTCCCCATCTGCTCAGTCCTTACTCACCTGGGCACCATCCTCCCGGTATGTCCCTTGAAACCATCCAGGGCTCTTTCCCTTGCTCCAGTAAGGAAATCACATCAGGCTTTGGGATAGAGAGACCTGTTTATAAGAAAAGAAGTAAGGTGGCCAGGCAGGCATAGTGGCTCACTCCTGTAATCCCAGCACTTTGGGAGGCCAAAACAGGTGGATTGCTTGAGGTCAGGAGTTCAAGACCAGCCTGACCAACATGGTGAAACCCCGTCTCTACTAAAAACACAAAAATTGGCCAGGTGTGGTGGCAGGTGCCTGTAATCCCAGCTACTCAGGAGGCTGAGACATGAGAATCGCTTGAACCTGAGATGAAGGTTGGAGTGAACCGAGATCGTGCCATTGCACTCCATCCTGGGTGATAGAGTGAGAATTCATCTCAAAAAAGAAAGAAAGAAAAAGAAAGAAAGAAAGAAAGAAAGAAAGAAAGAAAGAAAGAAAGAAAGAAAGAAAGAAAGAAGGAAGGAAGGAAGGAAGGAAGGAAGGAAGGAAGGAAGGAAAGAAAGAAAAAGAGAGAAAGAAAGAAAAGTAAGACATACTCGTGCTGTTCCTGAATTCAAAGTTAGTCCCTTAGTAGTCACGAAGGACTAGAGGAAGGTGTAAAGGTCTGAAGCATGGAGAAGATGGAGGGACCCCAAAGAGCTGCCCATCTATTAATCTACAAAACACAAAACAATTCCCTAAGCAGCAGGTGAAAAGTCACCCAGACAAGTGAAAGCTACACCCAAAATTCATGAGTTATTTGGGGATAGACATCCTTACCTAGTGAGACCAGGCTGCTATAGTTCTCCATCATTACATCTCTGTATCAGTCCTTCTGAGCAGCGTCCAGGCACTCCCATTCCTCCTGAGAGAAGTCTATAGACAGATCCTGGAACATGCCCAACCCCTGAAATGACAAACCCAGGCAGCACTGTTGAAATTAAAGGAAAGATTTTTAAGATGAAGGAAGAGATGGAAGGGTGCTGAAGGATGGAGAGAATACAGTGAGCAGACCAGCTAGGCTGAGAGTGGGGAAGAGTAAAAAAATTAGTGTAACTTCAACAAAGTACCTCCATGTTCATGAATATTCCTGTTGTGGCCAGCAAACCTCCTTCATAGAAAGGGACATTCCCAGTATTCCATGGTTAGAGCTGGGAATGAATAAATACATTGATATATGATTTCCCAAATAAATGAAATAGAGTTGAAAAGCACACAGCAAGCTGTAGGCCTGGCAAGGCTTCAAGAATATTACAGTAAACATCTGATATGCAAGTTACTATTTACAACAAAAGCTTAATAAATAGGCACTTCCCCCTTACCATTTTCTTTCTTGTTTTTTTTTTCTCTTGTTTCATTTTTTTGTTTTTGTTTTTGTTTTCACTTTGAGACAGGGTCTCGTTCTGTTGCCCAGGCTGGAGTGCAGTGGCAAAATCACAGCTCACTGCAGCCTCAACCTCCCAGGCTCAGGTGTTCCTCCCACCTCAGCCTCTGTATTAGCTTTGACTATAGGCATGCGCCACCATACCCAGCTAATTTGTTTTGTATTTTTAGTAGAAACGAGGTTTTGCCATTTGGGCAGGCTACTCTCAAACTCCTGAGCTCAAGCAATCCACCTGTTTGGCCTCCCAAAGTGCTGGGATTACAGGGATGAGCCACCACACCCAGCCTTGTCTCTTTTCTTAAAGGAAGACTGTATCTTTCAAAAATATCTACAAAAAGTTTGAAAACCTCTATTGGCCGGGCACAGTGGCTCACACCTGCAAACCCAGCACTTTGGTAGGCCAAGGCGGATGGATCGCCTGAGGTCAGGAGTTCAAGACCAGACTGACCAACATGGAGAGACCATTTTAGTCTCTACTAAAAATATAAAATTAGCTGGGTGTGGTGGCACATGTCTGTAATCCCAGCTACTTGGGAGGCTGAGGCAGGAGAATCGCTTGAACCTGGGAGGTGGAGGTTGCAGTGAGCCGAGATTGCACCACTGCACTCCAGCCTGGGCAATAAGAGTGAAACTCTGTCTCAAAAGAAAAACAACAACAACAACAACAACAAAACCTCTATTGCACTTTGATAATTAGTACTTCCATAAAATAGTATAGATAGTACTTTGATAATTAAATGTACATTGGCTGGGTGTGGTAACCCACACCTGTAATCAAAGCACTTTGGGAGGCCAAGGCAGGTGAATTGCTTCAGCTCAGGAGTTCAAGATCAACCTGGGCAACATGGCAAAACCCTACCTCTACAAAAACATATGTCATATACAAATTAGCCAGATGTAGTGGGACATGCCTCTAGTCCCAGCTACTCGGGAGGCTGAGGTGGGAGGATTGCTTGAGCCTAGGAGGTTAAGGCTGTGGTGAGCTCTGATCCTGCCACTGCACTCCAGCCTAGGCACCAGAGCAAGATCCTGTCTCAAAAAAAAAAAAAAAAAAAAAGGCCAGGTGTGGTGGCTCATGCCTGTAATCCCAGAACTTTGGGAGGCTGAGTAGGACAGATCATGAGGTCAAGGGATCAAAACCATCCTGGACTACATGGTGAAACTCTGACTCTATTAAAAATACAAAAATTAGCTGGGCATGGTGGTGCACGCCTGTAGTCCCAGCTGCTTGGGAGGCTGAGGCAGGGGAATTGCTTGAACCCAGATGGTGGAGATTGCAGTGAGCCAAGGTCGTGCCACTGCACTCCAGCCTGGTAACAGATCAAGACTGCGTCTCAAAAAAAAAAAAAAAAAGAGTGGTATCATGGTAGGAATAAACTGCACACAGGTCAGACAAAAGTTACTAGGCCATCTGCTAGTATAAACAAGTTTCCTGTGAGACACCTGGTCATGGGTCAGATACTTGAGCATTAGGCTGTGGTCCAGAAAAAAGAAATTTCTGGTGAAAGGCTACTCTAAAGACCCACAGGCCCCTCCCCTAGAGCCCCATTAGAGTGAGGTAGAGTTTATAGCCATTCTCCTGAGAGACCTCAAGACCCAATTAGAAGAAAACTATAACATTTGTTATATAGACGGCATTTTCCAAAGACTAGTTCAAAGATGAAAGATATAGTCTTCCTTTGGATATAAAACAAAATCTCAAGATACACCAAAACTGTTTTGCTTTTACTGAATAATTTTTGTGCATATGTGTTTAGCTGCAAGTGGCTAACAAGCTGTGATTTTCTTTCCTTTCCTTTCCCTTTTTTTTTTTCTTGAGACAGCCTTGCTCTGTCAACCAGGCTGAAGTGCAGTGGCCTGATTTTGGCTCACTGCAACCTCAGCCTCCCATAGCTGGGATTACAGGTGCCTGCCACCACACCCACCTAATTTTTGTATTTTTAGTAGAGATGGGGTTTCACTGTGTTGCTGAGGCTGGTCTCGAAATCGTGGCCTCAAGTGATCCACCCACATTGGCTCCCAAAGTACTAGGATTACAGGCATGAGCCACCATGCCTGGCCAACTCTGATTTTTTAACTTGTCTCGTGTATTAGGTTCATACTAGGAAAAAAACAGGTCAGAGCCATTGGAGCCACGTGTACAGATGTGCAGTAGCTCTGCTAGCAACACTGCTGCTTGCTTCAGCTCTTAAGACAGATGAGTTTAGCACGTGTCTGCCCTTGCTCTAGCTGTCTCTGATTCACCCCAACAGATGCACAATCATGTCACTCCGTTAGATTCACTTTGGATATCCCATTATTAGATTAAAACCAGCAGGCCAAAAAGATAACTTGAGGAAATGATTTCACATCCACAGTGTTCTCATAGGGCCAGTATCATTTAGACATGTCAGGAACGTGGTTGCAGGGGAAAGAATGAAGTGTCATTCTTAACTGGCCATCTAATGTCATCAGCATGAACAGGAGGACTTTATAGGAGATTATCTGATGTTTTCTGAATATTACCTTACAAATGCTGCTTTATTTATAGCTTAAGAGCAGGGACCTTGTCTTTTAAAGCTTTATACATCCTCAAGTAAAGGTTTTTCATATTAAATCCATTAATAATATCTAAAGGCCGACCTGGAAATTCCATTTCTAAGTATTCATCCAAAGTAAAGATTTTTTTTCTTTTTTTGAGATGGAGTTTCGCTCTTGTTGCCCAGGCTGGAGTGCAGTGGTGTGATCTTGGCTCACTGCAACCTCTGCCTCCTGGGTTCATGTGATTCTCCTGCCTCATACTCCCGAGTAGCTGGGATTAAAGGCACGCACCACCACGCCCAGCTAATTTTGTATTTTTAGGAGAGATGGAGTTTCTCCATGTTAGTCAGGCTGGTCTCAAACTCCTGACCTCAGGGGATCAACCCACCTTGGCCTCCCAAAGTGCTGGGATTACAGGTGTGAGCCACCACGTCCTGCCAAGAATTTTTTTTTTTTTTTTTTTGAGACAAGTCTCAATCTGTTACCCAGGCTACAGAGCAGTGAGGTGATCACAGCTCACTGCAACCTCTGCCTCCCGGGTTCAAGTGATTTTTGTGACTCAGCCATCAAAGTAGCTTGGAATACAGGCACACACCACCATACCCGGCTAATTTTTTTTTGGTATTTTTGGTAGAGAGCAGGTTTCACCATGTTGGCCAGGCTGGCCTCAAACTCCTGGCCTCAAGCAAGGCCACTTTGGGAGGCCAAGGTGGGCAGATCACCTGAGGTCAGGAGTTCAAGACCAGCCTGGCCAACATGGTGAAACCCTGTCTCTAACTAAAATACAAAAGGTAGCCAGGTGTGGTGGCAGGTGCCTGTAATACCAGCTACTCGGGAGGCAGAGGCAGGAGAATCACTTCAGCCTGGGAGGCAGAGGTTGCAGTGAGCCAAGACTGTGTCACTGCACTCCAGCCTGGGCAACAGAGTGAGACTCTCTATCAAAATATAAATAAATATAAAAATACAAAAAAGCCGGGCACAGTGGCTCATGCCTGTAATCCCAGCACTTTGGGAGGCCAAGACAGGCAGATGACTTGAGATCAGGTGTTCCAGACCAGCCTGTCCAACATGGCAAAACCCTGTCTCTACTAAAAATATAAAAATTAGTCAGGTGTGGTGACTCACTCTCTAATCCCAGCTACTTGGGAGGCTGAAGCAGGAGAATTGCTTGAACCTGGGAGGCAGAAGTTGCAGTGAGCAGAGTTCATGCCATTGCACTCCAGCCTGGGCAACAAGAGCGAAACTGCATCTCAAAGAAAAAAAAAAAAGAAAGAATACAAAAAATTAGCGGGGTGTAGTGGCACATGCCTGTAATCTAGGCTACTCTGGAGGCTGAGGCAGGAGAATTGCCTGAACCTGGAAGGTGAAGATTACAGTGATGAGACTGCACCACTGCACTCCAGCCTGGGTCACAAGAGCCAAGAGCGAGAATCCATCTAAAAAAAAAAAAAAAGAATTTCTATTTGGGGGACAAAATAAAAGGAGTGAAAGGGATGTAAAGAAATTGAAAGTCAACAGGCTAATAATGACAATAAATAATGAGGGAGCAAAGAAATCAGTATTGGCCAAATAAAACCAACGTGTTTTTTAATATTTTTTCAAAATTTAGACAAAGCATTCCAGTACACTGAGACACTTCTATTATCAAGACTTTAATATTGCCTGAGCACAGTGGCTTATGCCTATAATCCCAGCACTTTGGGATGCCAAGGCAGGAGGATCGCTTGAGCCCAGAAGTTCAAGTCAAGCCTGGGAAATATAGGGAGACATCATCTCTGCAAAAATAAAATAAAATAAAATAAAATAAAATTAAAATATAAAATAAAATAAAATAAAATATAAAATAAAATAAAATATAAAATAAAATAAAATAAAATAAAATAAAATAATAAAATAAAATAAAATAAAATAATAAGCCAGGCATGGTGGTATACATCTGTGAGCTGTGACAACCCCACTGCACTCTAGGATGGGTAACAGAGCAAGAAAGACCCTGTCTCAACAAAAAACTAGAATATAGAATAAATGACATTTGGGTAAGTGGAATATTAGGTGTTCAATAAACACAGGTTATTCCCTCCCTATCTCCATAGAATCATCAATTTTTTTTAAGAGAAGTTTTGATTAGAATCTAAAAATATCAATACTTCTCTTTCCAAAAAAGGAGGGAAGATTTAAATATAACAATTTCTTGGTTATTTCTATTTATTTTCATTGTTGCTTAATATTACTCAGTAATGAAAATGCAATTGCTCTCTTTCAAACATAGTTTTAATTAGTTGCACAAAATGCCACCTTATAGTCTGATGTACTTCAAATTTCCCTATCTATGAAAGCTAAATTTGGATATTATCTCAAGGATATTATAATCTCTGTCTTTAAATCTATCTAGGGTTCTACCTTTTCTGTAAGCCTTAGTGAATCTCACTATAGTCCTCCTTCCCTTTAAAAATGCAGTGATAGGCCGGGTGCAGTGGCTCTTTCCTGTAATCCCGGCACTTTGGGAGGCTCAGGTGGGAAGATTGTTGGAGCTCAGGAGTTCAAGACCAGACTGGGCAACATGGCAAAACACCATCTGTGCAAAAATTACAAATATTAGCCTGGCATGGTGCCATATGCCTATAATCCAGCTACTTGGGAGGCTGAGGAGGGAGGATCCCTTCAGCCCCGGAGGTCAAGGCTGCAGTATGCCCTGATCCTGCCACTGCACTTTTGGAGGCCAAGGCAGGTGGATCACCTGAGATCAGGAGTTGGTGACCAGCATGGCCAATATGGTGAAACCCTGTCTCTACTAAAAATACAAAAATTGGTCAGGTGTGGTGGTGGGCACCTCTAATCCCAACTATTCAGGAGGCTGAGACAGGAGAATCACTTGAACCCGGGAGGCGGAGGCTGCAGTGAGCCGAGATTGCACCACTGCAGTTCAGCCTGGGCAAGGCAGAGTGAGACTCTGTCAAAAAAAAAAAAAAAAAAGAAAGAAAGAAAAAGAAAATCAGTGATAGGTGAGACAGCTCATGCCTGTAATCATAGAACTTTGGAGGCAGAGGTGGGAGGATCACTTGAACTCAGGAGTTCAAGTTCAGCCCAGACAACATAGTGAGTCTTCTTATCTACTGAAAATTATTTTTAATTATGCCACAGTGCTAGTGTGTGCCTCTGGTTTCAGCTTATTTGGCAGGCTGAGGTAGAAGGATCACTTGAGCATAGGAGATGAAGGCTGCAATGAGCTGAGATGGTACCACTGCACTCCAGCCTGGGAGAGAGAGTGAGACTCTACCTCAAAAATAAAAATAAATACATAAATAAAAATTCAGCGATGGAGTTGATGGATTTGAGGTTGAGGACCCCCAATGTGAATCCATTTGGAAAAAACTCAACCTGTGTTCTCCCTCTGCTTCACACCAAAACCACAACAATCTACCCAGAAGACTTCTGTGGCCTCAAAATATGAGGAGATTTCTCCCTATCAGCAAGCAAGGAATCAGTTCTGCAGCAGACACCAGCTGGGTATCCACCAATTCGATTCTGACACTATCTACCATGAGATAGTGTCACCCCACAGATTGAGGGCTCAGCCCCCAAAACTGCCCCCCTTTCAGACACCAGCCACAAGTCCCAGCCTCTGGAACTTCTGACTGACAGATTTAATTTGGGGTTCCTACGACCCCCTCTTTGGGTTTGATTAATTTGCTAGAATAAAATGGCTCACAAACCTCAGGGAAACACATTTACTGTTTGATTACAAGGATATTCCAAAGGATATAGATGAAGAGATGCCTAGCGTGAGGTATGGGGGAAGGGGCACAGAGCTTCCATCCCCTCCCTGGGCACGACCCTCCAGGAACCTCCATGTGTTCAGCTCTCTGGAAGCTCTCCGAATCCACTCCTTTTGGGTTTGTAAGGTGGCCTCATTACATAGGCATGATTGATTAAACCATTAGCCACTTGCCATCAACTTAATCCTCAGTCCCCTCCACTCCCCAGGGGTGGGAGAGTAGGGGCTGAAAGTCCCAGCCCTCTAATCCTGCCTTGGTCTTTCTGATGACCAGCCCACATCCTGAAGCTATCGGTCAATCCCTAACATATAAAAGCCAAAGCCTGGGTGCAGTGGCTCATGCCTGTAATCCCAACACTTTGGGAGCCCGAGGCAGGCAGATCCCTTGAGGTCAGGAGTTCGAGACCAGACTGGCCAATATGGTGAAACCCCGTCTCTACTAAAAAAGAAAACAAAGACAAAAATTAGCCGACCATGGTGGCACATGCCTGTAGTCTACTTGGGAGGCTGAGGCAGAAGAATTGTTTGAACCCGGGAGGCAGAGGTTGCAGTGAGTGGAGATTGCGCCACTGCACTGCAGCCTGGGTTACAGAGCAAGACTCCATTTCAAAAAAAAAAAAAAAAAAAAAAAAAGCAAGCCCTTAGGACATTCCAAGGATTTTAGGAGTTGTATACCAGGAAATAGGGACAAAGACCAAATCTGTATTTGACAAAAATCACAGAACCGTATGAGTTTTTAATTCAATACAGACATGGAAACTGGCCCAAGCATTTACTCACAGATGACTGGGCAAATCACTGGTCCTATGGGTACAAATTATTGATCAAACCCCCAATCTCATTCCTACCCCTAAAATATAGCAAAGTGCAAGATCTTATTACCTATTTGGACTGAGATTAACACCATCCCTTAAATTGCATGGCTTTCAATCCCAGGGCTATGGCATGTGATGCCACATAGAATATGCATGAATCTTCTCTCCAGCAATTGAGTTGTTAGGATAAAGGCTCTTGTCTTTGCCTTCTTTCCCTCACAGCCAAGAATGTTAAGGAATGTGGACACAAAGGATGAGGTTGGAACAGAAGTTTAATATGCAAAAGAAGAAAGCTCTCCCCAGCGGAGAGGGGACCCGAAAGAGGGTTGCCAACTAGGAGGCTGAATCTGGGGGTTTTGTGAACTGGGAAGGGGAAGAATGTGCTCACTAGTCTGTGAGCTGTCTTGGAGAAAGCACAACTTCGCTTGGCCCGGGACCTTAGCTTGGGACCAACCAGAGGCTGAAGTGAAATTTTGGCCCAAGACCAATCAGGGGCTGAAGTGAAAGTTTGGCCCAGGACCAATCAGGGGCTGAAGTGATGATTCACAGAGGCTCGGCTCACAGTCCAAAGCATGTCCAGAAAAGGAAAGTGGTCACCAGAGCCTGTTAGTCCAAGCTGCACCGATTTGTAAGCCCCCACCATTTCACAGACCCTGGTCAGAGGGAAACATTCCACTGGGGTTTGGGCTGCGAGAAACATCCTCCCCAACCGCCTGACTTCCTTATCACATCCTGCTGGGGAAAGGCCCAAGAAACATCCTTATCAACATTCTCCCAGGCAACAAGCTATACTGCCCAGATCCCTCCTGCCCAGGCCTATAATTACTCCAGCCTGTAAGCGGCAGTGGGCTCTGGCATTTAGTTGGTCCCCTCCATAGAGCCGCCAACTCTCTCTCTTTCTTTAACCTTCACCTTCCCTTCAAAATCTAACAGAGCCCACCATATACATGCCCACAAAAAAGCGACTATTTCCTGGAAGCCCGCTGGTCACACAAAGGACAAAGGCATTTCTATGTTGGGCCTCGGTCCCTTATCAATGCAGCTGAGGAATGTCTTTAGGACAACCCCCTTTGCTAGTTTTCCTTCTCTGTGCCTGCAGCCTGATTTTTCAGGCTGTTTCTCTGTTGAAAGGAGTTTTACCAAGGACCCGCTCTAACTCCCTAAAGGGTTTTTTCTCTCAAGGGGACACACAAATTTCCAATCGCACACATGCCTCCCTATATCCACTTACCCTCTGCCTCACAGCCAATCACACTCTCCTCTCTCACACAGACCACGGGGCCACACAAGTTGCACCTGCACAGCCACAGACCTGCAACTCATGCACACACAGTACTGCACACACACGCAAAGTCACACACCCACCTTGGGACAAGCAGCCCCCACTACACAGTCACCGGTTGTCCACATCCGCACACACAACGCGGCTCGTCCAGGACACACACATCCACTCCGAGCGCGCACAGTCACAAGCGCCCACCTGATCACCCAGAGTCAGCACCACACAGCCACAGTCACAGACCACGAAGACCCACAGCAACCATCGCAATCACACACGCAAACTCCTCTCCTCAGCCCTCCACACACAAAAGGACCAGAGCCGGATTCCTCATCCTCAGCTTTCTCTAGTTCCGCTCGGGGCCGGCCTGGCCAAGTTACTCCGGACTCCAAGGCGTGGCAGCAGCTAATTGGGCACAGCGAAAGATTCTGCCACCTGGCTAAGAGGAAGCCAAAATCTCGCGAGACATGGTATTGGCCCGCAGAATCCTCCGGGAAATGTAGTCCAGAGCCCGACTGCTCCCCTGCTAAAAATACAAAAATTAGCCGGGCCTGGTGGGCGCCTGTAATCTCAGCTTCTTGGAAGGCTGGGGCAGCAGAATCGCTTGAACCCGGGAGGTGGAGGTTGCAGTGAGCCGGGATCGCGCCGTTGCACTCCAGCCTGGGTGACAGAGTGAGACTCCGTCTCAAAAAATAAGTAAGCAGACATGTCTGCTGCCCACATGAGGTTTACATTCTAGTCTGGAGAACAAAAAAGATTTTAAATTAAAAGGGGAAGATGAAGTAATTTTATATTGTGATAAATACTATGAAATATATCAATAGGTGGTATAGGCAGTAACTTGAGGGATACTTCCCGTAGCATTGATAGGACGGGTGTCTGAGAGATAACCCTCGAGCTTTGGTGGTGAGGAGCCAGCAGTGTGGAAGGGTATTCCAAGCAGAGGCACAGTTACACTGAAGACCCTGAAAAATCAGAGAGCGCTTGGAGCGTTCCGGAAACAGAAAGCAGCCTGGTGTGACTGAAGCTTAGCAAGTGAGTGGGAAATTAGTTTAGATTTAGGATGTAGAAGTCAGCATTTTCCGATTCATATGAGAAAATGATAGTGCTGAGATTACAGGCGTGAGCCACTGCACCCAGCCCCAAACCAAGTTTTTATAGCAGCAAGAATAGATACTCTGGTATGGTCAGCGTCTAAAGATTTTACAAACAATATCTCTTCTTTTAGTTTGCAGTCATTATTGAAATAACAAACATGTCCTATTGTCAGGCCTTACTCTCAGTAACTGATTTCATTGATCTGAATAGGAAACTTACTTGATTAATCAGCTACTCTTTGGTATTACCTGACATCTCATTAATGCATCTTTGAATTGAATTATTGCTCAATAGGAGTGATTGTGAAATAGTGGTAATGTGTTACATCACTATTGAAGTTACCGTCTCTCATGTGAGTCTTGTGACAGTTTCAGCAAGTACAAAGCACTATGGGGTTTTACAATGATTTCTGTAATCTTTTCTTTTTTTCTTTTTTTTTTTTTTGAGACAGAGTCTCGCTGTGTTAGCCAGGCTGGAGTGCAGTGGCATGATCTCACCTCACTGCAAGCTCCGTCTCCGGGACTCAAGTGATTCTTCTGCCTCAGCCTCCCGAGTAGCTGGGATTACAGGCGTGTGCCACCACGCCCGGCTAACTTTGTATTTTTAGTAGAGACGGGGTTTCACCATGTTGGCCAGACCGGTCTCAAACTCCCGACCTCAGGTGATGCGCCTGCCTCGGCCTCCCAAATTGCTGGGATTACAGGCATGAGTCACCACGCCTGGCCTATTTCTGCAATTTTATAAGGCAATTATTTCATCATAATTTGTTTGCTTATCCTTTTTTTTTTTTTTTTTTTATACCGAGTGTTGCTCTATAGTCCAGGCTGGAGCATGGTGCTGCAATCTCGGCTCACTGCATCCTCCACCTCTCAGGTTGAAGCGAGTCTCCTGCCTCAGCCTCCCGAGTACCTGGAATTACAGGTGCACACACCATGCCAGGCTAGTTTTTGTGTTTTTAGTGGAGACAAGATTTCACCATATTACCCAGGCTGGTCTCCAACTCCTGGGCTCATGTGATACACCCACCTCAGCCTCCCAAAGTGTTGGGATTACAGGTGTGAGCCACCTCACCCCACGGCTTGTCCTTCTTAAATAAGAAGTAACAGTGTTACAGTTCAAAATTCTATTTTAAACTTTTTAAATATTCTGTTTCTCGACTTTATCAGGATGTTTCTTTTATTGATGATCCACAAATCTTGATTTCATAGCTGTTTGTAAAAACAAACAAAAAACAAACAAAAACTATTATTTATAAGAAAAAAGCTGTTTTGAGTTAAATGGGGTTTTCAATAAAACTGTAAGCTAGGCTGGGCGCGGTGGCTCACACCTGTAATCCTAGCACTTTGGGAGGCTGAGGTGGGTGGATTGCCTGAACTCAGGATTTCAAGACCAGCCTGGGCAACAGGGTGAAACCCCGTCTTTACTAAAATACAAAAAATTACCTGGGTGTGGGGGCAAGTACCTGTAGTCCCTGCTACACGGGAGGCTGAGACAGGAGACTTGCTAGAACCCAGGAGGTGGAGGTTGCAGTGAGCCAAGATCATGTCTGCATTCCAGCCTGGGCAACAGAGTGAGTCTCCATCTCTAAAAACAAAAACAAACAAACAAAAAAACAAAACCAGTTGGCCAGATATTCATTCATTCCGATGTAGTCAACACTTTTCATTTTCAACACTTAACACAATTAATGCTAGGTTGAATTACTTTCATAATATAAACTATTTTACATAATTCCCAAAGCACTGAGGATCAATCATAAATACTATCCACAAGGCAGCCAATAGACAGACACACACAGACCACCTCTCATATAACTTTGGGATAGAGCATTCAATCAAGAAAAAGTCTTCCAGGTATAGCCATCAATTTGCCATCATTTTGTAGCACTGATCTTGCAAAGATTTTTTTTTTTTTTGAGGTGGAGGCTCGCTCTGTCACGCAGGATGAAGGGTGGTGGCACGATCCACTCACTGCAACCTCTGCCTCCTGGGTTCAAGCGATTTTCGTGCTTCAGCCTCCCATGTAGCTGGGATTACAGGCAGGTGCCACCACTTCTGGGTAATTGTTTTGTATTTTTAGTTGACACAGGGTTTTACTATGTTGGCCAGGCTGGTTTGAACTCCTGAATTTCAGTGATCCACCTTCCTTGGCCTCTCAAAGTGCTGAGATTACAGGTGTGAGCCACCGTGCATGGCCTGATCTTGCTTGGATTTTTTATCTTCCATAAAATGATTAATGCTGCCCATCATATTTGAGAGAAATTAAATACCAAGGGGTAAAATTTTGTGCAATAGGCCAGGCATGGTGGCTTATACTTGTAATTCCAGCACTTTGGGAGGCCGAGGCAGGCAGATCACTTGAGATCAGTAGTTCTAGACCAGCCTGGCCAACATGGTGAAACTCCGTCTCTACAAAAAATTCAAAAATTAGCTGACCGTGGTAGTGTGTGCCAGTAATCCCAGCTACTTGGGAGACTGAGGCAGGAGAATCGCTTGAACCCAGGAGGCAGAGGTTGCAGTGAGCAGAGATTGCACCACTGCACTCCAGCTTGGGTGACAGAGTGAGGTTCCCTCTCTGAAAAAAAAAAAAAAATTGTGGAAGGCCACAAACCATTGCAACAACTATAATTCATTTTACCTTCAATAACCAATGTTCACCCTCTTAGGGGCAATATCACTCCCATTAAAAATGCTTGGCCAGGCACAGAGGCTCATGCCTGTAATTCCAGCACTTTGGGAGGCCAAGGGGGGCAGATCCACTGAGGTCAGGAGTTCCAGACAAGCCTGGCCAACATGGTGAAACCCCGTCTCTACTAAAAATACAAAAATTAACCAGGCATGGTGGCATGCACCTGTAGTGCCAACTACTCAGGAGGTTGAGGCAGGAGAATCACTTGAACCTGGGAGGTGGAGGTTGCATTGAGCTGAGATTATGCCACTGCTCTCCAGCCTAGGTGACAGAGTGAGACCCTGTCTCAAAAAAAAAAAAAAGAATGCTTCCAGTAAGGCTAAATAAATATACAAATTAGGCATGTGACATGTGTGTTAGTATACGTACAATATATTTCCTAGTTCTGCCCACTAAGAGGGCCTAGAAGCAATGACACACCCATAGCAATGAGCACACGTGTCACCCCGATCTTGGCGATTTTGTTTTTGTTTGGTTTTTAAAAATAGAGATGGGGGTCTCACTGCATTGCCCAAGCTTGTCTCAAACTCTTGGCCTCAAGGGATCCTCCTGCCTCAGCCTCCCAAAGTGTTGAGATTACAGACCTGAGCCACCTCACCCAGCCCAAGATTTTGGTGCTTTGTAAATAATACTTTTCAATGAAAGAAGCCAAGGATCTTTAAATAAATGGTTTATTTCACGTCTGGGTCAGGGAAAATACCAGATGAATCAAAACACTTTATGTGCCAGAAAGTTGGTAATTAGTCCCACACCCCAACCCCCTGATAAAGGCATGCTATAAATAGAACACAGGAGCCAACGTAAAGAAACGCCCAAGGCCAATTTTTTTTTTTTTTTCTTGACGCAGTTTTACTCTTGTCACCCAGGCTGGAATGCAGTGGTGTGATCTTGGCTCATTGCAACCTCCATCTCCTGGGTTCAAGCGATTCTCCCACCTCAGCCTCCCGAGTAGGTGGAATTACAGGTGCCTGCCACCACGCCCAGCTAATTTTTTGTACTTTTAGTAGAGACGGGGTTTCAGCAGGTTGGCCAGGCTGCTCTCAAACTCCTGACCTCAGGTGATCTCCATGCCTCGGCCTCCCAAATTGCTAAGATTACAGGCATCAGCCATTGCACCTGGCATAAGTTCGTATTGTTTTCAGTATCACAACCACATACATGTTCAATTGCACATATACTATGTTCTCTACAAATGTGCAGTTTGGACCTGCCTCATCTTGGTACTCTACAACAAGAGCATTGCATTGTCACACATGTAGACAATGAATTGACTCAGAATCACAAATACTTGTACTGGGGACCTGTAGGGAGAAGTCAAGCCCTAGGAAGAGTACCAGGTCATCATCTGGGAAAGGAAATATTAGGAGTATTTGGGGTGTGAATAGTACTGTATTGAATTCCAATTCATTTCAAAATATATTTCACAGATTATCACAAACCAGGAAATAAGTTGTGTGTATTTTTCTTTGTTTTGTTTTGTTTGTTTGTTTGTTTGTTTGTTAGAGAGAGTTTTACTCTTGTTGCCCAGGCTGCAGTGCAATGCCACGATCTTGGCTCACCTCAACCTCCACCTCCCCAAAACCTCTGCCTCCCAGGTTCAAGCGATTCTCTTGCCTCAGCCTCCCAAGTAGCTGGGATTACAGGCATGTGCCACCATGCCTGGCTAATTTTGTATTTTTAGTAGAGATGGAGTTTCCCCATTTTTTTTTTTTTTTTGAGACAGATTCTCACTCTATTGCCCAGGCTGGAGTGCAGTGGTGAGATCTCAGCTCACTGCAACCTCTGCCTCCTGGGTTGAAGCGATTCTCCTGCCTCAGCCTCCCAAGTAGCTAGGATCACAGGTGCCTGCCACCGTGCCTGGATAATTTTTGTATTTTTTAGTAGAGTTGGGGATTAGCCATCTTGGCCAGGCTGGTGTTGAATTCTTGACCTTGTGATCCACCTGCCTCAGCCTCCAAAAGTGCTGGGATTACAGGCGTGAGCCACCGAGCCTGACCAGTTTGGGTTTTTTGAGACGGTCTTACTCTGTCATCCAGGCTGGAGTGCAGTGGCGTGATCTCGGCTCACTGCAACCTCTGCCTCCTGGATTCAGGTGATTCTCCTGCCTCAGCCTCCTAAGTAGCTGGGATTATAGGTGCATGCCACCAATCATGGCTTTTTTTTTCTTTTTGTATTTTTGGTAGAGATGGGGTTTCACTGGGTTGGCCAGGATGGCCTCGATCTCCTGACCTCATGATCTGCCCGCCTCGGTCTCTCAAAGTGGTAGAATTACAGGCATGAGCAAGCATGCCCAGTGAACTGTGACCATTTTGAAAGCCATGATTTATGGGAATAGCAGTTATTTCTCTTTGTGTAAATAAACAGAGGCCACCAAAATAAGAACAAAGAGAGGCTTATGCATACAGAACTTGCTACAGAGTAAGGGATCCATTTGTTTATGTTGTCTATAGATTCTGGATATTATTAGGCCTTTGTTGGATACATCGTTTGTGAGTATCTTCTCCCATTCTGTAGTTTGTTTACTCTGTTGATAGTTTTTCTTGTTGTGTTTATGCTTTTATTTTACTTTAATTTTTTTTTTTGAGGCAGTCTTGCTCTGTCACCCAGGCTGGAGTGCAGTGGTGCGATCTCAGCTCACTGCAACCTCTGCCTCCTAGGTTCAAGCAATTCTCCTGCCTCAGCCTCCTGAATAGCTGGGATTACAGGTGTGTGCCGCCACCACCTAATTTTTGTATTTTTATTAGAGACAGGGTTTCACCATGTTGGTCAGGCTGGTCTCAAACTCCTGACCTTGTGATCTGCCCAACCTGGCCTCCCAGCTTCTGGCTTAATTAGGTACCACTTGTCTACTTTTGTTTTTGCTGCAATTGCTTTTTTGGAATCTTAGCCAAAAATTATTTGCCAAGGCCGATGTTGAGAAGAGTGTTTCCTAGGTTGTCTTCCAGTATTTTTATAGTTTGAGGTCTTATATTTAAATCTTTAATCCATTTGGAGTTAATTTTTGTATATGGTGAAAGGTAGGGGGCCCACACTCAGTCTTCTGCATGTGGGTAGCCAGTTATCCCAGAATCATTTGTTGAATAGGGAGTCCTTTCTTCATTGCTCACTTTTGTTGACTATGTCAAAGATCACATGGTTATAGGTGTGTGAATTTATTTCTGGGTTTTCTAACCTATTCCATTGGTCTATGTGCTGTATTTGTACCACTACTATGCTATTTTGGTTACTGTAGCCTAGTAGTATAGTTTGAAGTGGCATATATGATGCCCATCAGCAGTGGATTGGATAACGAAAATGTGGTAATTATACACCATGGAATACTACATAGCCATAGAGAAAGAAACCATGTCCCTTGAAGCAACATGGATGCAGCTGGAGTCCATTATCCTAAACAAATTAATGCAGCATCAGGTAACCAAATACCCATGGTCTCACTTATAAGTGGGAGCTAAACACTGAGTACACATGGACACACAGATGGGATCAATAGACACCAGGGTCTGCTTGAGTGGGGAGGATGGCATGAGGCTATGGGTCAAAAAACTATTGGGTACTCTGGTTACTACCTGGGTGACAACATCATTTGTACACCAAACTCCAGTGGCATGCAATTTACCTGTGTAACAAGCCTGCACATGTATCCCTTAAACCTAAAAACAGAAAAAATTAAAAATAAATAAATAAATGAGGTATAAGTCTAATTGTTGAATGTTGTGACTAGTAACCAACAGAGCCATTGAAAATAGTGAGAGTGGCCGGGTCGGTGGCTCACACCTGTAATCCCAACACTTTTGGAGGCCAAGGTGGGTGGATCACAAGATCAGGAGTTTGAGACCAGCCTGGGCAAGAAAGCGAAACCCTGCTGCTACTAAAAATACAAAAATTAGCTGGGCATGGTGGCTCATGCCTGTAATCCCAGCTACTCATGAGGCTGAGGCAGCAGAATCACTTGAACCTGGGAGGTGGAGGTTGCAGTGAGCTGAGATTGCACCACTGCACTCTAGCCTGGGCGACAGAGCAAGACTCTGTCTCAAAAAAAAAAAAAAAAAGAAGAAGAAGAAAAGAAAAGAAAAAGAAAATAGTGAGAGCACCATATAAGGAAAGTGGTTCAGGCACTGTGGTAAGGGGTGAGTGTCAGCCAAGTCATCAGCTATCAGAACACGAAGCCATCAGGTAATATATCAAGTTGATACATTAAGAAGGAGGGGCCGGGCACGGTGGCTCATGTCTGTAATCCCAGCACTTTGGGAGGCCAAGGCAGGCGGATCACGAGGTCAGGAGATCAAGACCATCCTGGCTAACACGGTGAAACCCCATCTCTACTAAAAAAAAAAAAAAAAAATTAGCCAGGCCTGGCGGTGGGTGCCTGTAGTCCCAGCTGCTGGGGAGGCTGAGGCAGCAGAATGGAGTGAACCCGGGAGGTGGAGCTTGCAGTGAGCCAAGATTGTGCCACTGCACTCCAGCCTGAGTGACATAGCAAGACTCTGTCTCAGAAAAACAAACAAACAAACAAAACAGAAGGAGGAGGATCTACCTATTATATAACAGAGATAAGCACTCAGATATATGGATTATAAATAGTTTAGAAAATTTAAATATTTGATTATTCAGAAAGTAGACTCGGGACTATTGGAGAAACAGGGTGGGGAGTAGACTGCATGGAGAGCTCTTTCTTAGTGTGGGATTTTCAATTATGCATATAGGTTTCTTACATAACATGGAAAATTCAATTAAGAAACAACATTGTGTTTTGGGGTCCCAAAAGTTCAGTGATTGATTAGAAGGACTCACAAAACTGAGTCAAGCTGTTATACTCATAGTTATGGTTTATTACAACAAAAGGATACAGATTAAAATCAGCAGCAGAAAAAGGTGCATAGGGCAGAGTCCAGGAGAAACCAAGCACAAGCTTCCAGTTGTCCTCTGCCAGTGGTATCATGTGAACAGTGCTTAATTCACCCAACGATATGTGGCAGAAAGTACAGAAAATACTCCCCAACAAGAAGCTTACCTGAGCCTTGGGGTTGAGGGTTTTACTGGAGGTTGGTCTCATGGACAAGAGCACCCATTTGGATGACCTTAGTTTCCTGTCTCCACCTTTCCCAAGGTCAAGCTGACACTGCATGGTCCAAGGTCCCCACAATAAATCACATTATTAACTAACTCCCAGATAGGCAGGAGATTCCAAGGACTTAGAGGTTATTTCCCAGGAGCCAGGCTAGAGTCACACCATTCTTTGGAGTATGCCAGGTTTGGACAATTCAGGCCTACTAAGTTTCCTTGACTGCACCCAAGTGATAGTGAGTATGTAGGAAATGAGTAGTCGCATATATTGCTGGTGAAATTAGTGTTATATAACCCTTTGGAAAGAAATCAAGTGTGTAGTGCATAAACATTACATTTGGTTTGATTTGTTTTTGTCTAAGACAGGGTCTCACTCTGTCACCCATGCTGGAGTGCAGTGGCATGATCACAACTCACTGCAGCCTCGAACACCTGGGCTCCAGCTATCCTCCCACCTCAGTCTCCTGAGTAGCTGAGAGCACAGGCACGTGCCACCACACCCAACTAATTTGTGTGTTTTTTGTACAGACAGGGTTTCACCATGATGCCCATGCTGGTTTCAAACTCCTGGGTTCAAAGAATCCCGTACCTCAGCTCCCCAAAGTGCTAGGATTACAGGAGTGAGCCACTGCACCCAACCCATATTTGTATATACATTAAATTGTATATGTTAGGCCAGGCGCGGTGGCTCACAAGTGTAATTCCAGCACCTTGGGAGAGCAAGGTCAGTGGACCACTTGAGGTCAGGAGTTCAAAAGCAGCCTGGCCAACATGGTGAAAACCCATCTCCACCAGAAAGACAAAGATAGCTGGACTTGGTGGCAGATGCCTGTATTCCCAGCTACTCAGGAGGCTGAGGCAGGAGAATCACTTGAATCCAAGATGTGGAGGTTGCAGTGAGCTGAAATCACACCACTGCACTCCAACCTGGGTGACGGAGCAAAACTCCACCTCAAAAAACAACCAAAAATTTGGGTATGTTATTGTATGTATGTGTATATACACATATTAAATATATATAAATATATTATATTTTATACACATACATTTGTTTCCTCATGCTATTTGTTTCAGCAGAAGTAAAAATAAAGGTATAAGTAAAAGAATATTTACAGAAGCACTATTTTTGGTGGCAAAAGTACTTTAGCATTTTATATGCTGATATAATGGAAGATACTTTAACTCTTACAAATAATGAGTTAGCTTTTTATCTACTATAAAGATATCCTAATATCTTTATACCTAAAGTGATATCAATGGCAAATTGTTATATGAAAAAGGAGAATGCTTTATAATTGAAGAAAAAAAGAAAGAAACGTTATATAGTAGCCCTCCCTTATCTGCAGGAGATGTGTTCTAAGACCCGCAGTGGATGCCTGAACCTTGGATAGCATTGACCCAATTGCTGTCAATCAGAACACATTTCTGTTTATGATTTCCATGCACAAATTTAATGCCTTTTTCATCTTAACTAAGTACTTATCACACATGTGGCTGTATTTTTAGAGCTTGGGGTGCAACAAACAAGACTAACAGAAATTTCTTTTTCCTTCTTACATTTTCACCGCTAGAGGATTTGTTCTTACCATCGATCCTAGCAACCTGAGCACATGACTTCTTTTTCTTTCTATTTTTTTTTCTTTCTTTCTTTCTTGGTTGCTTGCTTGCTTGCTTGCTTGCTTCCTTTCTCTGTCTTTTTTCTCTCTTTCTTCCTTTTTTCTTTGTTTCTTTCATCTTTTTTTCTTTCTTTCTTTCTGTTTATTTATTTATTTATTGAGATGGAATCTCACTCTGTCGCCCAGGTGGGAGTGAAGTAATGCGATTTCGGCTCCCTGTAACCTTCATCTCCCAGGTTCAAGTGATTCTCATGCCTCCACCTCCCAAGTAGCTGGGAATACAAGCGTCTGCCACCACGCCCAGATAATTTTTGTGTTTTTTGTAGTGATGGGGATTCACTATGTTGGCCAGGCTAGTCTTGAACTCCTGACCTCAAATGATCCACCCAGTTCAGTCTCCCAAAGTACTGGGATTACTTGCGTGAGCCACCGCACCTGAGCTGTATATGCCATTGTATGATTGCAAAAATAATATGAATCTTGGAAAACATCATGGAAAGATGTTCATCATCTTGTTAACTGGTTATTTCAAGAGTGGAACTGGAAGGGGAATACTGCCTTTCCTGTGTATTTATTTGTAATGTTTCATTTTCATTATGAACATGTATTATTTTAATATGTTTAAATATTAATAAACACAGGCAAAAATATGTAATTTTAATTCAAGCTGAAATCATCAAGGCAATCATACATAACAGATGGAGCAAATAAAACATTTAAAATCCCTGAATGAAAAGGAGGGGAGGCCGGGCATGGTGGCTCACGCCTACAATCCCAGCACTTTGGGAGGCCGAACTAGGCAGATCACTTTGGGTCAGAAGTTTGAGACTGCCTTGGCCAATTGAGACCCCTTGACTCAATTGGAATTGGTCCCACAAACTTTTTTTTTTGAGGGAGTCTCGCACTGTCACCCAGGGTGGAGTGCAATGGGGCAATCTCGGCTCACGGCAACCTCTGCTCCTGGGTTCAAGAAATTATCCTGCCTCAGCCTCCCTAGTAGCTCAGACTTCAGGCAATGAAACTAAAGAAAGTCAGGGGATGGCTAAAGGATGGAGGATACCTGGGCTGGGGGAGGAGGGAGAATGCGACGGGTGAACACAGACAGGCTTCCAAAGTGGTGTCCAGGTTGTATTTCTTCACTAGGTGGTGGGCACACAGGCATGCATTTTTCCTTATCTTTAAATTGTACATATTTCATACACTTCTCCGTATGTATTATACATTTCAAAATAGTACATCTTTTAAAAAATCACAGTGGTTAATGCAATCAGTACAGGTGCCAGGCACATACCAGAGACTCCAGGTGATGGCATGCTCTCCTCTTGGGCTCCTCATCTAGGGCTGAAAGTTTATTTCTCACCCCTGCTGCCAGCACCCGCCATGCCAGCCCATGTCTCTAAGTGCTGAGGGGAAGGTGTATGAACAGAGACAGATACGGCCGTGGAGGAACCCGGAGGGAGGGCCCTCCACTTGGTGAGGACGGATTATGAGGCTGGTCAGTGCTGAAGCTGAGTATCTTGCTTACTAGAGCAAAGGGGAACTGTGCTTATAGGACCATCTCTCAGAGCAAAACAAATTGAGTCTCTTGGGAAGCCTGGCATTGAGGATTGTCCAGCTTTCAGAAGTGAGAGTGTTCAGCCTGACTTCAGGGGCACAAGGTTCTTGCTGCCTGGGCCTGTTCTGTAGTGTGGGGCTGTCCCTGACTGGCCAGCTTTCAGAAGCATGCAGCATTGTCATTGACTTATTGGGGTTTCATGCCACCACAGCCAAAAAGCAGTTTGTTTTTGTCCTTGAGTTTGGACTATAGATTGTTATTCTCTCCAGGCAAAGGCAGGAAGCACACGGGAACAGGTAGTGCCAGGTGGCTGCAGGCAGGTGGTCTGGCTGGAGCTCAGTGCAGAAGCACAAGACGGTGGTGAGGAGTGAGGCAGACCCAGGGGACTGAAACACCACTGGAAAGAAGGTTCCACCCAGAGCAGTGGGGGCCACAGAGTGATCCTGAGGGGAGATATACACAGAGATGCGTTTGAGGAAAAGCAGAGACCAGTGGGAATGCTGGTGCTCTCCGCCAGAGGAGAGGCGACGGTGATCGGGACGAGATAGAGACACCGAGGCGGTGAAGATGGAGAGGCCATGTGAAGGTGGAAGGGACAGAATTTGGTGACAAGCGTCCAGACTGACGCCCAGGTTTCCACTTGGGGAGACCACAAGGTGGCAGGGTGAATTCCAATGCCAGGTCTCCGGGGAGAGCACACTCAGGAGGAAGATGAGAGTCCGGGTCCCTGTGGGATGGACGTGGAGCCCTCCAGGGGCATTGAACTCTATAGATCTGCCAGTCAGGGGCAGAGGGGTCCAGGGCAGAGGAGACAGAGATCTGGGCACCACCCACGAAGGCACAGTGGGCAGGGGATGGAGCCCTCTGGAGGGAGCCAGCGCAAGGGTGCGAGAAGGAGCTTGCAAAGGAAGCAGAGCAGCAGCCAGGACAAGGGAAGGCACCCGCGAGGAACTTGCCTGCAGACCCCAGGGTTGAGTAGGCTTTAAGGAGGAGTGCATGGGGAGCGTTGGGCCGCTCACAGACTGAACACACAGAGGCTGGCGTGGATGCCTGTGGCCTCTGCCCTTGCAACAACCTCTGTCTTGGGTCAGGTTTCCTGGAAGCAGAGCTGAGATGGAATTCCTGTGGAGGTGATTATGGAGGGAGTGCTCCTGGGAAAGGAGAGTGGGGGTAGAGAGCCGGTGCAGAGACCTGAGCAAGGCTATGACTGCTTCAGCCTGGTTGGATGAAGGGGAGTTCAGGAGCACTGCACCTCACGGCTGTCCCTGCCTTGAGGCCAGGACCATTTTGTGTCTCCTCTCCCTCCCCTCATCAATCAGGCACTGGGTTGTGGGGGAGGGTGTGACCTTCTGGGTGAGGCAGTTTTCCCACTTGGCCTAGGGCAATGAGCCTCCGCTATCCTCAGGCAGCCACCATTGCCTGAAGACAAGTGAGACCCCATGTGCTTGGGCAAAACCAACCCCTTCCCAGCTCCCAGCATTCAGGGAGGGTCTTTGAGTAAGACCACCCTAAGCTGCCTCCTCTGCTGGCAAACTCCCTGTCACTGCTTTCCCCACTGTCTGCCACTGTAGACCCCAGGATGAAGCTCATTATGCTGCTTCTCCCTCTGTATGGAAAGTTCGAGTCCCCCCAGGCCACCCCTTGCCCCAGACAGCTCTGTATAACCCCTTCTCAGACCCCTTCCCCCATCCCCAGTTCCCTCAAACCCTTCCACTCTCGAGCTCCTGACCAGCCATGAGCAATGTCCCCCATATCCTAAACTTTTTGTAAACCAAAAATAAAATTCTGAGGGCCCCCCAGCCATCTGAATGGACCTCCTCCTCTGCCAGGGCACTCTTATAATGTAATCTGAAAGACTGGTTCAGGCCATGATGGGAAGTGGGGATCGGACTTGCATGATTATCGCTCCAGCATTAACATCAACACACTTTAGTCTGATAAGAAACATTTTACAGTCTATTCTCTCTGAAGCCTGCCACCTGAAGGCTTCCTCTGCAAATAAGAACTTTGGTTTCCACAATCCTTTATCTTAACCCAAACATTTTCTTTCTATTGATCCCAGGTCTTTAAATCAACTCAACCAATTGTCACTCAGAAAATTTTTAAATCTGCCTATAGCCTGGAAGTCCCCCCTCACCCACCCCCCGCCTTCTAGTTCTCTTGCTTTTCTGAACCAATTTATTTCTTAAATGTATTAGATTGAGGTCTCATGTCTCCCTAAAATGTGTAAAATGAAGTTGCACCCTGACCACCTTGGACTTATGTTCTCAGGACCTCCCGGGGGCTGCATCATGGGCCATGATCACTCAGGTTTGGTTCAGAATAACTCTCTTCAAATATTTTACAGAGTTTGACTCTTTTTTGTCAACACTTTGAGCATCCCCTTGACTGTGCTGTAACTGGAGATGGACACCCGCTCGCCCCTCAAGGACCACATCGCTCTCCAGCACTCCTCCTCTTCTTATAACTTTTGGTGATTTCCGTTTCCAGGGGGTGATCCCTGCAAAACCCTGGCCTGCTCTCCTTTCATGGTCTTGACCTCAAAACTACCCCAGCCCTCCTCTCCCATGGCCACACCCTAGATATTGTGGCCCATAACCATAAAGTCTTCTCTCTCCACGAAGACAATTCCGAGTGGCCAACCAGCAGCAGGAGTATTGCCATCTTGGATAAGCACTGGTCAGCATGACCAAAACCCACAAATAACATCTCAGACCAGAAACATTCCAAACCCCTCCCTCACCAGAGGCTTGCCAGCCCCGAGATAACCTCCCCTCCGGCCAGAGATATGTCAGCCCCAAAGCTGCGTTTTGTGTTTCTTTCCTCTTTCTTTAACACTTACACTCCTGATTGTGTCCAGCTGACTTCTGCAGTGCCTCACCTAAACATTCCTTCAATGGCTGGGCTTACACTCCACTGATCCCTCCACATTTTCACTGTGGTCACCCCTCTGTCCTCCCTCCCCCCTCCCAGGTATTATGGTGGGCACCAAACATTCTCAGCAGCATATGCCAGTTCCTCCAAGTCTTCTCTTCATTAGACCAACGTCCCCAGGCCCCCAGTTTTCCCCAACAGGATATGGACCACAGATCAGCCATGTCCTAGCATCTTCACCTGGTGCTTCTGTCCATCTGTCCATGTCTTCTTGTCCCTGGAAAGCATGTTCTCTGAGAGCAGAGATTGTGTTTCCTGCATCTCTGTCTCCTGTTGCCCAGCACAGAATTGGTGCTCAATGAAGATTTGTCCATCCAGATGAAGAATGGATGGGTGGCTGGATGGGTAGGCAGATGGATGATGAGTGGGTAGATGGGTAGGTGGATGGGTGGGGACAGATGGATGGATGGAGATAGATGGATGATGAATGGTGGATGGATGAGTGGGGGGATAGATGGATGGGGATGGATGGATAATGAATGAATTGGTAAGTGGATGGGTGGGTGGATGGATGGATGGGTGGATGAGTGGGTGGATGGATGGATGGGAATAGATGGATGCTGAATGGGTGGGTGGGTTGATGGATGGATGGGGATAGATGGATGATGAATGGATGGGTGGGTGGGTGGATAGATGGATAATGGGTGGATAGATGGATGGGTAGATGGGGTGAATGGATGGATGGGTAAGTGGATGGATGGATGGGAATAGATGATGAATGGATGAGTGGGTGGATGGGTAGATGGATGGGGATGGATTGATAATGAATGAATTGATAGGTGGGTGGGTGGGTGGATGGATGTATGGGTGGATGGATGGATGGGTAGGTGGATGGGTAGATGGGGATAGATGGATGATGAATGGATGAGTGGGTGGGTGGATGGATGGGGAGGGATTGATAATGAATGAATTGATAGGTGGATGAGTGGGTGGATGGATGGATGGATGGGGATGGATGGATAATGTAAGAATTGGTAGGTGAATGGATGGATGGGGTAGATGGATAATGAATGGATTGGTAGGTGGATGGATAATGAATGGATTGATAGGTAGATACATGGATGGATGTACAGGAATGAATGGATAATGAATGGATTGGTAGGTGGATAGATGGATGAGTGGATAGATGGATCGATAATGATTGATGGATGGATGGATGGGGATGGATGGATAGATAAATGGATTGGTAGGTGAATGGACAAATGGATGGATGGATGAGTGGGTAGCTGGATGGGGAATGAGTGGGTAGGTGGGAGAATGGATGATGGATGGATGGATGGATGGATGGATGGATGGATGGATAAATGGAGGGATGCATGATGAACTTCTCCCTTGTTCCCAGCCTAGTCCTAGAATATGTTGCCTCTTCTCAAAAATAAGGTACCACAAAGCCTCTGGTGACGGTGGAGCAAAGGAATAGATGGTGAATGTCTCATACCCACTTCGGATCCAGAACAGGCCTAGGAGAGACTCAGGTGGGATCTGCTGCTGAGGAAGGGGGTTGGGGCTGAAGTTGGAGGAGGAGGGCAGCTCTAAACCACCTGTTCCTGGCTCTAGGCCTCTCAGGCCAGACAGCCCCCACCCGTTTCTGCAGATGCCCGCATCATGGTCCTGAGGGGATGGGGGCCGGCCTGGAGCCTTTCCCCCGTGGTGTGTGGCTATAGCGGGGACATGAAGGGGGTGTGTTGGGGACGTAGTGACCACTCCCTTCTACCGTCAGAGATCCTGCTTCCCCCTGCCCCCTGCCCCTCCTCGGCTGCCCTTCATAACCCCCCACCCACTCCCCACCTGCCATCTCCTGTGCTTGTGCGGATCCAGGAAGCACCTACCTGGGCACAGAGATCATCGCTCGGTGCCTCGCCCCTACACAAGGGCGATTAACTTCTCTGTTATGAACTCCTACTTAGTAATTCTGACATGAAACTCCCACTAGGATAAAACTTGGCGCAGAACAGCAATTACTGAAAACACATTTTTAAAAAGGTTGATGTTTTGTAAGAGTTCATCCTCCTCCACTCCTCAGCCTCCCTCAAGGAGACACATATTTAGATCTTCTCTGTGTGAGTCTAACTTGGAGACTGTGAGTTGCAGTTTAAAAGGGGCTCTGGGGCCAGGTGCGGTGGCACACACTTGTGGTCTCAGCTACTCAAGAGGCTGAGATGTGAGGAACGCTTGAGCCCAGGAGTTCAAGACCAGCCTGAGCAACATAGGGAGATGGGATCTACCCAAAACATTTAACAATAAGGCTGGCATGGTGGCATATGCCTGTGGTCCCAGCTACTTGGAGGCTGAGGCAGGAGAATCATTTAAGCCTGGGAGATCGAGGCTGCAGTGAGGTATGGTTTCAACTGCTGTGCTCCAGCCTGGGAGACAGGGCAATACTGTGTCTCTAAAAAATAAAATAAATAAATAAATAAATAAAGGGCTCTGAGCCCAGCCCTCTGGCCAGGGCCTGGTGCAGTGGCAGAGGCTTGGGTCCCTGCCAGGTCTCCTGAAACGTCTCCAGGGTCTGCTGGGGCAGCCACCTGGGTGCTCAGTTGCTCTGTTAAACAGCAAAATTCCCAAGTCCTCATCTCAATGAGCCACTGAGGCCGATGAAGAGGGCCTGTCTCATTTAGGACATGAGTGGCCAGGCGGGTGCCACAGGCCCTTTTCCTGGTGACAACAAAGCCATTGCATGGCTCCAGGAAGGTCACATCATTTCCCGGGCTTCGTAGGCACCTGCGGGGCGGAAACAGTTCAGCAGGGCCCTCCTGATCACAAGGACGAGGTCATACCGGCTGCTGCACGGCAGGGCTGCACTCTGCCAGGGAGTGTCCTGTGAGGGAGGGGCTGCACTGCCACTTTACTGATGAGGAAATTAAGGTTCAGAGAGATGAGGTCATTTGTTAGAGGCCAGACAGCCTCCTCAGCCCATTTCTAAGGTTGTTTCTGTGGTATTTGCCATAAAGCCATAGGTTCATTGATTTGTTCTTAAGTAGTTCTGAGCCCTTCCTGCATATCAGGCAGGGACAAACAGGAAAGTCCCTGCCTTTGGTAAGTGCGGGGGAAATGAAATGATTCTGCTCAGCCTCATCCATTGGTCTGAACAATCACGTCTCATGACCGCAGGGACACGGCTTCCCCTGAACGCGGATCCTAGAGGCCAGGCAGAAGCAGCATGGGTTTCCACTCACATGGTAGGTGGCTGTGCAATTTCGTCTGGAGTCCCCAGACCCCTCCTCATCCTTCCCAGGGTTGCTCTGAGGCCATTCCTCGTCATCTAGGAGGGGTCTACATAAAAGCATTTATAAACACCTCCAAATGGGAGCCAGGCGTGCCCACCTTTGGAGCACTTTTCTCTACTGCAAATTTATCTACTGCTCGTGAAATCTCTGGATTTAACTCTGATGAAAGACTGGAGGCTGAAGGAGAACTTCAATATCATATATTTTAAAGGTTGATTCACAGTTTGGAGCAAGAATTAAAGAACCACGAACTTCAAGGTAAAACGGGCAACGGCGTTGGGGCAAGCCTCTCTGCATCTGCGTGTCCAGCCTCTCCTGCGTGCCAGAAGTCCCCAGGCAGGAGTGTGGTGGGACATCCGGCTGGGGTAAGGACAGGCACCCTCCCACTGTGTCAGGGCCCAGAGAGTGGGTGGAGAAGCTCTGCAAGAGACCTGTGCAAGGGCGCCTTGTAGGAGCCTGCAGTCCCCACAGGTGTGTTTGTGGATAACATTTGGGGAGCCCTGGCCTTTTGGGGTCACGGAGGGCTTGGCCTCTCACCTCAGAGCTGCGGAGGAGCCGCTTCTACATCAGGACATCAGAAGCTGGAACAGGATGGCCGGCGAGGGGCCTCTTGTTGGGGTCACAGAGATGGGTCGCAGAGATGGCCCGTCTGGAAGGTTGGATTCTCACCCCACCTCTGCCCCTAGATGTCCTGGTGACCCTCCCCTCTGTAGTCTTGGTTTTTTGCAAAACAGTTATGACCTCCTGCCATACTGGGTACTTTGCTTATGTATTGTGTTTACTCTTTACTGTGTGTCTCTCCTGCTAAGGTCTACGAAGAAGGGTCTTTGTGGGTGGGGTTCTTAGAGGCATCCCAAGTACCAGAAGCAGTCCCTGGACTAAGGGGCTCAAAAAATATTTTTTATTTATTATTTTTTCTTTTTGAGATGGAGTCTCGCTCTCTTGACCAGGCTGGAGTACAGTGGCACAATCTTGGCTCACTGCAGCCTTCGCCTCCTGGGTTCAAGTGATTTCCGGCTAATTTTTGTATTTTTAGTAGAGACGGGGTTTCACCATGTTGGCCAGGCTGGTCACAAACTCCTGACCTCAAGTGATCCACCCGCCTCAGCCTCCCAACATGCTGGGATTATAGACATCAGCCACCATGCCTGGCCAAATATTTGTCAAATTGAATTTGTATTTCCATACAAATTTTAGTCTGGATGAAGTGCTTCATGCCTGTAATCCAAGCACTTTGAGAGGCTGAGGTGGGTGGATGGCTTGAGCCCAGGAGTTTGAGACCAGCATGGAAAACATAGAGAAACCCCATCTCAATATAAGAAGAAGAAGAAAAAGAAAAAAAAAATCAAAAACGAAAACAACACAAATTTTAGAGTAAGTATTTTAAGTTCCACAAAAACCTGGTTAGGATTTGGATAGCAATTTCTTTAGTTCTACAAATCAATTTGGAAAAAATTAATTAATCTGGGAAGAATTCATTTTGAGTCTTCTAATCCATGAACATGGTATCTCCATTTGTTTAGACCATCTTTAATGCCTACTAATAACATTTCTGTATAGTGACCTTGCACATTATTCTTAGATTCTTGATATTTTGTGCTATTATGTCTTTTTATAAATTTTATATTTCCAACATTGTTGCTAATATATAGTAAGAAAATGGAATCTTGCCTATGGATTTTGAACCCAACAACTTTGCTAAACTCCTCTGAATCCTCAGAATTTCCCTGTGGATTATGTAGGCTCTTCTGCATACACAACCATATCATCTGTGAATAAAGACAGTTTTGTTTTCTTCTTCACAAACTTTACCCGACTCACTGTGCAGTCTGCCACATCCAGGCTGATATTGAATAGCAGTGGCACTAATAGGATTCTTTGCCCCCTTGCCAATCTTGTAAAGAAAGCTTTCAACATTTTCCTGTTAGCTCTGTTGGCAGCTCTGACTTTTTCCATAGATGGCCTTCATCAGCTTAACAATGGGTCTTTTCTTCCCAGAGGGCTGAGCTTTTCCTTAAGAACAGACAGTGAGTGTCATCAAACACTAGGCTGCATCTGTTGAGATGGTCATACAACTTGTGTCTTTTCCTGTGTTTGTGTGTGAACTCTCTGGGTGTCTGAGAGTTCTTGTGACTTTCACAGAAGAACACAATTTACCCTCCGGTGTGGGAAGGGGAAGGAAGCAGAGGAAGAAAGACCCCAAGTCCCCCTCATCCCCACTGACCTTCCTGCTGGCTTCGTCCTTGATCTGTGCCTCCTTAGATCCTGCGTTTGAGTACTTGCGGTCATGATGACAGGGCCAACCTCCTGACCAGGGCTGTTAGCATCTCCCCTGCTGCCCAGAGTCCCTGCTCCAAACCACTTCCTTCATCTTCTGTACCCCCAGCCAATATTTCCCTGCCCAGTGTCAACCCAGGCCCAGAACCAGACCACAAGGGACAGCCCCGGAACCCAGAATCAGACAAATCAGCCCGTCCCAAGCTGTCTCCCCTGCTCTGCCCGGCTTTCACAGGGAAGCCAACACAGGCTGTGGCTTGGCCTTTCCCTAGCTCCTTTCTGCCTCCTGGTCTGCCTGCGGCTTCCCCCTGCCGCCCTGCGGGGCCTGCCACGTCTCTCATTTCTAGTGAATGTTTCAAGAGCGATGTTAGACTTTCCTTTCAATAGCGTTGACCTCTGTTAGGCACCTTTATGGATTAAGACCTGGGCATAGATGGTTTCTTCGGCATCACGACCTGAAGGTGCTTGGGAGAGACGGTGAGGAGGAGAATGCACCCTGCCATGCTCTGCACCGCACATGGATGCGGATTTCACCATGTTGGCCAGGCTGGTCTGAAACACACGGAGCCCAAGCGCCCGGTGGACCCTCTGACGGTCCTCGGGCGTGTGCCTTTGTAAGCAGAGTATTCAGCTCTCATCAGGGCCTCGCCAGAGCAGAAATGGTCTGTTGATAAATGCATCGTATACAATTATAAATGTGCACCCAGCATTGCTGCTTCCTCTTTTTTTTTTTTGATATAGGGACTTGCTCTGTCGCCCAGGCTGCAGTGCAGTAGGGCAGTCACAGCTCACTGGGGCCTCAACCTCCCAGGCTCAAGCAATCCTTCCGCCTCAGCCTCCTAAGTAGCTGGAACTACACATCCAGCTTTTTTTTTTTTTTTTTTTTTGTAGACACAGGATCTCACCATGTTGGCCAGGCTGGTCTTAAACTCCTGGGCTCAAGTGATCCGCCCACCTTGGGCTCCCAGAGTACTGGCATTACAGGTGGGAGCCACTATGCCTGGCCTGCTTCCTTTTGCAAACAGGAATCTTGTAAATAGAATTGATCAGAACTTGTTGTTTAACGTACACAGACCTCTAGCTGTACTGCAAAGCTGTGTGCACATGTGTTAAGTCATCTGTTCTATGTGTTCTAATTATAAATAAGAAAAAACAAATTTCAATCAGCCATGCTGGAGGAAGAGCAATTATGTTTCTATTCCTTCTATCACAGGTGATGTAAAATTCTCAAACAATGAGATAGATAAAAAGTACGCAGCCAAAAAGTTCAAGAAGAAGTGTTATGGAGATGGAGCAGGCCCTTCGTAAAAACACGATGTTGGTTTTCTGGATTTTGTATGTTTGCTTTTTTTTTTTCCTCATCCTAAATAAATATTCACTGTCATACCTAATTTTGTTTTTGTAAGTTTGTATTCTTTCTTTATAGGGAGGCCTCACAAAACCCGGATCAGACTCGCCCACTGCCCTGTGTCTGCCCTCCCGACCACCTCTCCTGCCCAGCAGGGATGAGGGTGGCAGTGGTGCTGTGTGGAGGGTGGCGGGAGGACCTGGAAGACTGCGACCAGTGAGCCGGGAGGCCTTGGGACAGCCTCTCTCTGAATCATCCTGTGCACTGCCGGGTGTGACAGAGGCTCCTGGAATCCTGCCTCAAGTGGCCGCCTTCACAGAGGGAGTCACTGACGTCCCTGCTCAGCGCAGCCCTGGCATGTGGGGGTCCCTCTACTCATGAGAAACCCCCACCCAATCACCGTGAGGTGTGTGACCCATGCTCACATCCAGGGGCCACTCATTCATTCAGGAAACATTGGCCGAGCCCTCAGCAGGGGGCGGTGCTGGATGCTGGGATGTAGAGAGTGGGGTGGGACAAGGACTTGGTTGTGAGACGTCCCAGTCCGGGGAAGGACTAAGAGAAGGTGACATGGACAGTCTAGACTACCCGTCATTGGTTCTCCACTGGGGGCAGTATTGGCAATGTTTAGGTATAAATTGGTTGTCACAACGAATGCTACCAACGTCTAGTGGGTGGAGGCCGGGGGTGCCGCTCAGCATCCTACCAGGTGTCGGACGGCCCCCACCACCGAGAGTGCCAGCCCCGAGGGCAGCCCAGGGTGCCCCAGTGGTGAGGAGCCCCGGTGTGGAGTGCAGGGTTCGTTTGGACCATGGCTGTAGAGGCCTAGGGGAGCTCCCGCCATCAGGATGGCCAGGCATCAGGGCTCTGTGAGGGGGAAGGGGGCATCAGTGCAGCGGCAGGCAGGGGTTCGACGGGCTGAGTCCTGCGACGTGTTGCATCCACACCAGTGTCTGGGGCCAGCACCACCGCTCAGTCTCTGAACCCACTTATTTCGCCCAATATTGCTTGAGTGGGAAGTTCCACCTTCCCCAGTCGGCTGCTTATCTCGTCTTTCCAATGCAGTTAGGAAGGGAAAATATTTTCTCCCCATTTTACAGATGAAGAAATGGGGCCTGGCGAGGAGCAAAGCCCAGAACTGCTGCCCACCACCCTCCCTGCCTGGTGCTTTCCTGGGAACATGTGGGAGCCCCCACCTGGACCTTGGGACCTCCCATCTGTAATTGCAGGCCCTGGTCTGCCTGTGTGGATGTGGAATGTGTCACTCGGGATCCTGGAGTCCTCCTGAGCTTGTCCAGCAGGGCTGCATTCACTGATGTGCTGACAGAGGCCTAGGCTCGGACCTCTAGGAATATCCAAGGCATCTCATTACGCAGAAAACCACCCTCATGAGGTCCTGGGGGCCTCTCTCCATCTTCCTGGGGGTGATGCAATAGAGTGTAACTTCCACGCTGCCGAGACAGGCCATGAGGGGTTGCCCCCGTTGGAGGGGCAGAGTGGTATTTGTGGGGTGGTAGGAATCATTCAATGCCCAGCTGCAACCCCCCGGGCTCACAGCACACTCTTAAGGCCAGTGCTACCAGCTCCCTTGGGTGGATAGAGGAGCTACAGCTCAGAAGCATGCCCACAGCTCCCCCAGGATCCTGAGGCCAGCCTGTGGCAGGGCCTGTGATTTGAACCCCTCTACGAGGCTTCAAATCAGTGCTGTTTGTCCTGGCCTCATAAAACCTGGCTGCCCAGTTGGGATTGGTGTCATCTGCCTTGCTGAACTGGGCACTCCTTGGGAAGAGGGTGGGTGCTGCGAAAAGGTGGTGGATCCTGGCTGTGCAACCTTCGCAGGTGGCTGAACCTCTCTGTGTCTCAGTTTGCTCATCTGCAAAGGGGGCTGGGATTCCTGCCTACATGCATGTGCTCAAGAGGGAAAGCCAGCCAGGCATGGTGGCTCATGCCTGTAATCCCAGCACTTTGGGAGGCTGAGGTGGGCAGATCACTTGAGGTCAGGAGTTCAAGACCAGCCTGGCCTAAATGGCAAAACCCCATCTCTACTAAAAAAAAAAATAAAAATAAAAAAATTAGCTGGACGTGGTGGCGGGTGCCTGTAATCCCAGCTACTGGGGAGGCTGAGGCAGGAGAATCACTTGAATCCGGGAGGCGAAGGTTGCAATGAGCTGAGATCCCACCATTGCACTCCAGCCTGGGTGACAAGAGTGAAACTCCACCTCAAAATAAATAAATAAATAAATAAATAAATAAATAAATAAATAAATAAAGTAAAAGAGGGAATGCTGAGAGCCGGGCGTGGCCTGTGGCTCTGTAGCTACGCAGGAGGCTGAGTCAGGAGGATTGCTTTAGGCCAGAGATTCCAGGCTGCAGTGAGCTATGATCATGCCTGTGAACAGCCGCTATATTCTAGCCTGGGAAACACAGTGAGACCCTGTCTCTGAAAAAATAAAATATTTAAAAAAGAGTGAATGGTAGGTCAGGTTCTTCTGTGGTGGGGTGGGTCTGGGCAGGGGTGGAGGCCCAGCCAGAGTCACTGGGGTCAGGGAGGGACTGGTGACAAGAATGCACAGCCCTGACCAGGGAAGCACCCAGGGAGCCTTCCCCGTGAAGGGGGGACCTGGCCTCGCCCTGGCCTCACCCCGGCTGTGAGTTGGAACCAGCATGGAGGGAAGCCAGGCCCGGTGCACTCTGCCCAGGGGGATGTAGTTTGGCCAGTGGGGGCTGCCATCAGAGGCTGTCATTACTGTGGGGTCGCTTGTGGACGCTTTCCCTTCCGAAGCCTGGAACCTTGGGTCCCCATGCCCTCCAGCTCTGTGTCTCCTTCGTGGGCACCAGGAAGACACATTCCCTGGCCTCCTTTGCAGTGGCTGGCTGTGGAAGGAGGTGCCTGGGGTCAGGTGGGTGTAGGTGGGTACGTGGCATCACGAGGACATATTTTTGTAGAGGGAATTACATTCTTTCTTCCAATTTTTTATTATTAAAGTTTTCCAATTGAAACCACCCACACCCCAAGCCTGGGGCCGGCCTCCCATCACTGCCTTCTCAGCCCCGGGGAAGGCCTCCTTCTTTCTGCATGGCCTCTGGGCCCATCTGAGCATTCCTCTTCCCTGATGGGAGAAACTCCTGGTGGGAGAGAAGTGGATGTGGGTGTCCAGGCGAGTCTCAAATCCCAATGGCTGACCCGGAATCCTCCCTGCACACCTCTCCTCCTGGTGCCCGGAGGGGGTGCCCACTCTGCTGCCAGGGATTTCCTGAGCAGCTGCTCCAACCACAGCCAGGGAAGAGTCCTTGCAGGAACTCTGCGGGCTGGGCCTGCCCTCCCCAGCCTTGGCATCTTCTTGTTGGTGTCTGAGTTTGAGTCTGTTCTGTGGGCTCTGTGGGAGGTGGGCCCAGATTCTCACCATGCAGGACCCCTCACCCAGAGCCTGAAACCCACTTTGACTAACATGCCTCTGGGTTCCTTCACTGGCCCTGCCCAGTCGCATCCCATGGGAAGAAGGACTGGCTGCTCGGGGTTCTCAGACCCTAGCCTGGGAAAACCAGTCTGAGGGCAGGGATAACCCTTGGCCCTGCCTCTGATTGGGCCCTGAGTTAGGTGGGGTTCTTCCCTGCTGGGGGTCCTGGAGGCATGGGAGGGCTTTGGGGTTCTGTGTGAGAGAGGCCTCAGTCCCTTCAGTTCTCACAGATCCCCCAAGGCTGTGTGTCTGATCCATTGCTTTACATAAGAGAGGAATTGGAGCCAGGCAAAGCCCAGGATTAAAATGGGTGGTGGAGGGGGGAAGCTGTGATTTGAATGTGTCCCTCTAAAAACACGTGTTGGAAACTCAGTCTTCAATGCAACAGTGTTGGGAGGTAGGGCCTAAGGGGAGGTGTTTAGGATGATCCATGGATGATCCATGCAGGTAACAAAAGGCCTCGAGGCTGGGCATGTGTTCTCTCACTCTCTCACACTCTCTTGCCATGTGATGCCTTCTGCCATGTGATGACACAGCAGGAAGGCCCTCGCCAGATGCAGCCCCTCAAACTTGGACTTCCCAGCCTCCAGAATCATGAGCCGAATCATCTTCTATTTTTTATTTTTTATTTTTTTTGAGACAGAGTCTTGCCCCGTCGCCCAGGCTGGAGTGCAGTGGCATGATCTCTGCTCACTGCAAGCTCTGCCTCCTGGGTTCACGCCATTCTCCTGCCTCAGCCTCCCAAAGAGCTGGGATTACAAGTGTCCGCCACCACAACTGGCTAATTTTTGTGTTTTTAGTAGAGACGGGATTTCACCATGTTGGCCAGGCTGGTCTCGAACTCCTGACCTCAAGTGCTCCACACACCTTGGCCTCCCAAAGTGCTGGGATTACAGGCATGAGCCACCACACCCGGCCTTTTTTGTCTTCTTATAAGGAGGTGAGTTGTATTGAATCAGGGCCCACTCCAATCAGGTGTGACTGCGTCTTCACTTGATTATATCTGCAAAGGCCCTATTTCCAAAAAGGTTGCATTCATAGGTACCAGGAGTTGAGGCTTTAACATATCTTTTAAAATTTTTATTATTTTTTTGAGACAGAGTCTTGCTCTGTCGCGCAGGCTGGAGTGCAGTGGCGGGATCTCGGCTCACTGCAACCTCCACCTCCTGGGTTCAAGAAATTCTCTTGCCTCAGCCTCCCGAGTAGCTAGAATTACAGGCGCCCCCACCCACCACACCATGCCCGGCTAATTTTTGTATTTTTATTAGAGCTAGGGTTTCACCATGTTGGCCAGGCTGGTCTCGAACTCCTGATCTCAAGTGATCCACCTGCCTCAGTTTCCCAAAGTGTAACATACCTTTTTGGGGGACAGAATTCTACCCACAAATTCTAGATAAGGAGGCATTGCTTCTTTTTTCTTCTGGTATTGAATGTCACTTTGGAGATGTCTGATGTCAAGTTGGTTTTCTTTGCTTTATAAGATACTTGGTCTTTCTGTCTGGCTGCCTAAAGGATTATTTCTTTATCTTTAAAGTCCAGTGATTTTACAAAGGCATGTTTTGTGTTGACTGTTCTGGGCCAACACACACAAGTATACAGCATGCGCTTTTACAGGCAGGCGCAAGTCTGCCTGCATTTCAATAAAGAGGTCTTGAATGATAGTTTCAATCCTTGTTCAGCAGGTGCTGTGGTGCACACCTGTGGTCCCAGCTACTCAGGAGGCCAGAAGTTCAAGCCCAGCCTGGGCAACGCTAGCTTATATGAGATCACCTCTCACATAAATCAAGCAGTCAATACTTGTTCCGATCTGTTAGAGTTTTGCCTATCATATATGTACACTGGAGCCCCTTTACTGTTTTTTTTTTTTGTTTTTTTTGTTTTTTTTTTTTTTTGAGACAGAGTCTCGCTCTGTTGCCAGGCTGGAGTGTAATGGCACAATCTCAGCTCACTGCAACCTCTGCCTCCTGGGTTCAAGGGATAGTCCTGCCTCAGCCTACCGAGTAGCTGGGATTACAGGCACACATCACCATGCCCGGCTAATTTTTGTATTTTTAGTAGAGACGGGGTTTCACCATCTTGGCAAGGCTGGTCTTGAACTCCTGACCTTGTGATCCAACTGTCTTGCCTCCCAAAGAGCTGGGATTACAGGCGGGAGCAACCGCGCCCGGCCCTTTACTGGTCTTTTATAGTCACTTTCTCTCTAATCCTTTTTAATCTCTTTCCTCTTTCTTTCTATTTGCTCACTTTTTCCTTTTTTTATGTGATTTCCGTGGTGTCTGTGCTCTCGTATTACCTGTAACTTCATTTCTTCATTTCTGAAATGGTTTTCTCTTTTTCTTCAGTTTCCTTCCTGAATTCTGTCATTTCCCACCACAGACTCCGCTGCCGTTTGGCCACCTCTTCCCTGTGTTCTTATTCTGTGCTTATTCTCCTCTGTTCTTATTCTGTGCTGTAGTATCCCTTCGGAGCTGAAGTTCTTGTTGGAATATTAGATCATGATTTTCATCTGGTTTGTGGCAGTATTTGTCTGATGAGATTTCTTCATTTGTAGGAAAATAGCACTGCTTTTATTTTTTATTTTTATTTTTTAAGACTGCAGCTTGCTCTGTGACCCAGGCTGGAGTGCGGTTGCACAATCGTAACTCACTAGAGCCTTGACCTACAGCCTGCACTCGAGCGATTCTGCTCTGCCTCTGGAGCAGCTGGGGACTACAGGTGTGTGCCACCATGCCTGCCTGGGTTTCTTTTTTTATTTTTTTGAGAGAGGGTCTCCCTCTGTCACCCAGGCTGGAGTGCAGTGGCGCAATCTCAGCTCACTGCAATTTCTACCTCCTGGGCTCAAGCGATTCTCCCATCTCAGCCTTCTGAATAGCTGGGACTACAGGTGCACACTATTGTGCCTGGGAATTTCTTCATTTTTTTTTTTTTTTTTTTTTTGTAGAGACAAGGTTTCACAATGTTGTCCAGGCTGGTCTCGAACTGCTGGGCTCAAGTGATCTGCCCACCTCGGTCTCCCAAAGTATTGGGACTATAGGCGTAAGCCACCATGCCTGGCCTTTTTTTTTTTTTTTAAGTTAGGCACTTAGGTCTCCTTATGTTGGCCAGGCTGATCTTAAACTCCTGGCCTCACTCAATCCTCCCGCCTCTGTCTTTCCCACAAAGTGCTGGTGTTACTGGAAAAGGGGGAGCTCTGATCCAGACCCCAAGAGAGGTCTCTTTGATCTCATGCGAGAAAGAATTTGGAGCGAGTTCACAGAGTAAAGTGAGAGCAAGTTTATCAGGAAAGTAAAGGGATGAAGAGGAACTGAGGTCTCCTCCCCTCCCTTTTGAGACCTTATAAGGTAACCTCCAGACATTGCCATGGCATCTGTAAACTGTCATGGTGCTGGTGGGGGTGTCTTTTAGCAGCAAATACATTCTAATTGGCATATAATGATCCGTGAGGACAATCAGAGGTCACTCTCGTGGCCGCCTTGGTTTTGGTGGGCTTTGGCCGGCTTCTTTACTGCAACCTGCTTTATCAGCAAGGTCTTCATGACCTGTATCTTGTGCCGACCTCCTATCTCATCCTGTGACTTAGAATGCCTAAACTCCTGGGAATGCAGCCCGGCAGGTCTCAGCCTCATTTTACCCAGCTCCTGTTCAAGATGGAGTTGCTCTGGTTCCAACGCCTCTGGCATTGGGATTTCAGGCGTGAGCCACTGTGCCTGGCCAGCATTGCTTTTGGAAGTGGAGAGCATGCCCATTTTTGTTACTCGTTTATTTGAATAGGATGGCTGTTCCGGCCAGAAGGTGCTGGGCCACGGCTCCTGGGAGGACCATGTGCTGCCCTGTTGGATACCTCAGCACCACTGGCTCCTGTTGGCAGCTGAGCCGGCCCACCTTGAGGTCCTGTGCATGGGTTACAGCTGGTGGTGTGTGGGTGCACAGTGATGGCGGGCCTCTGAGAGCTGGGGCGGGCCAGTGCGGCCTGACTCTGCCTGTAGGAAGCTCTAGAACAGGTCATGCTGATCTGCAATGAAAAGTCGCCTCTGGAGGGGGTGCAGTGGGGACTGATGAGCACATATCTCGGGGGTGGTCAGGTTCTTATCTTGGTGGAGTCTGCCTTTGTCAACTCCCTGAGTGACACCCTTGAGATCTGTATAGCTTGCTGGGTTGAACTGTGACCCCCAAATTCATATGTTGAAGTCTTGACCCCTGTATCTCAGAATATGCCAGGGCAGAGTCAGCAAAAAGAGGAAAGTCTCCAGCCGGTTCCCCAGCTCTGAGCCTGTACCTGCCTTGGGGCCAGGAGAGGCTGAGGTGTGGGAGAAATGCGTATTTGGGTTCCTCTGCCAGAGCATGGTCCTCCGTGGAGTCGGCCTCCTGCAGAGGGGAGCAGCAGGTGCTGTTGCATGCTACCGTCTCCCCTAAGCCTCTCAGGGTCTCCTTAGGAACAGGGTGCATGTTCCCTCCCAGGTGCAGCTCACCCCTACCTCTGCCCCCCACATCTCCCTCCCCCCGCCCCAGGCAGCCCCCAAGACTTTCCTTGCCCTGAACTCCCATCTGCCTCCCCGGTCTGTCCTCTGTCCCTGGCTGCTCGGGTCAGCCTGGCCTCCGGTTCTCTCCCTTTCTGTCCCTTTTGCACCCTGGCTCCCTCTCTAGGCTGCGGTGCAGTGAGGACGCTGCCCAGGGCTGGAGGCTGGTGGGAGGTTGGGTGTGATGTAAGGCTGTGTTGCCGGCTGTTCTGGGGATGCTGACAACATTGGCGTGGCTCATGTTTATCGTGGGTCTAGCTCCTCTTGTACAGACATGGTCCTCTTCCCTTCCTCCGTGGAAGCAGAACCCTGATGCGTGGCGGGGCATGTAGCTGGCCGGAATGAAAACCTGCATCTCCCAGCTTCCTCCCTGACGCTAAGTGGAGCTGAGCTGCTAAGTCGTGGCCAGTGGGTTAAAGGCAGAAGTGCTGTAGGAGACTTCCAGGAAGATGGCTAAAAACAAGCTGACTCAGCTGGGACTTCTGGGAGGGGCCCTTTTCTGCCCTGTACTTTTCCAGCTTCCTTCCACCTGTCCTGTGGTCTTGATGGCTGGAGCACCAGCAGCCACCTTGGACCATGGAGTGGCTTTGAGGCTAGACACCATGCGTGGAGGATGAGGAGCAGGACAGCCAGGATCTGGGTCCCTGAGGACATCGAGGAGCTGCCACCTCACCCTCAATCAGTCATCCCCAGATTCTCCCTTCAGAAAGAAATCAGCTTCTTTCTTGTTTATGCTTCTTTTGCTGGGATTGTCATATGCAGCGAAACCAAACTGTGGAGTCCCGATCAGCTGATAGAAATGAGGAAGGGGTTCCCTCCTCTGCACAACTCCATGGCACCACAGGCCCTAGCTGGCAAGAACATGAACTAGGGTGGGGGAGAGCCATTGTTCTAAGAAATGGATAACCACAAGCAGCCCGCTTGCACAATCTCCTGTTACCAAATACCTAGCTCTGCACGTTAGCTCCAGCAGCATGACCCTGTCTGCATGGGGCCTCTCCAGCGTGACCCTGTCTGCATGGGGCCTCTCCAGCGTGACCCTGTCTGCATGGGGCCTCTCCAGCGTGACCCTGTCTGCATGGGGCCTCTCCAGCGTGACCCTGTCTGCCTGTTGCCTCTCCAGCGTGACCCTGTCTGCATGTGGCCTCTCCAGCGTGACCCTGTTTGCATGCCGCCTCTCCAGTGTGACCGTTTCCACATGTAGCCTCTCCAGCATGACCCTGTCTGCATGTGGCCTCTCCAGCGTGACTCTGTTTGCATGTGGCCTCTCCAGCATGACCCTGTCTGCATGTCGCCTCTCCAGTGTGACCCTATCAAACTTCCCCCTGGCCTCTGCCCCTGGGGAGGTGGCCTTCTCTCTGCCATGCTGCCTGCTGTTCTCTTGCAAGGTGTCTTCAGACTTTCTTTACCCATGACTGTCTCGGTAAATTCTTTTACCACCCGTGACACCAGCCCCAGCCAGTTGCACCTGCAACACTGGCTGCAGTGGATTCCTTGTTGCTGATACTCCACATAACCTTGCTAGGTGTCATATATGATCATTCTTTAACAGAGGGGCAAGCTGAGGCTCAGAGAGGTTAAGGCACTTGCTCAAGGTCACACAGCGGAGAGGTTGTGGGTAAGCCAGGCTGCTGGCTTAGAACACTGCCATGGCATTTCTCAGATCACCTCGCTCAGGGACTCCTGGCAGTTCCCCCTGCGTCATAGCGGTGAGTCTGTCCAGGACGAGCCACTCCAGGCTACCGAGGGCCAGCTGGAGGGCCTGCAGACACCTGCTGTGGAGTCAAGGTCCACACCATCAGCTGGAAGAGAGGTCTCAGGAGGGGCATTAGTGTTTGTCCTCGCTGTGATTGCACCGACTGACAAATCAGCTGTGGGACAATGGAAAACACAGCAGCAGCTTGTTACTGAGAAGGGAGGACTCAGGGTGGACCTGACCCCTCTGCAGATGGCTTGGTGAGAACATGGCCTGCCCTGTTGGCTCCTCCCTCTGGGTATTGGAATTGCTGGGCAGCCAGAGGCTTACCTGGGCTTACTGGCACCCAGGGAGGAGAAGCCCTGAGCTGTGCGGCTGCTGAGGAAGGCTGTCTGCAGGGGAGAGCCCGAGCTCTGAGGGAGGCCAGTGGGCTCAGCCTGATGTCTCCATTCTCCTTCCTACAGCAACCAGGGTGCTTTGGAAAGGGTCAATTGCCCCCCCTTACCAGGTAGGGATGCAGGAGGGAGAGCGAGCCATTCCTCTAACGTCAGTGACCATGTCTTGGTTCCAAAGCCCCTTAAGCCTTGGGTTGTCTATCAGCAAAAAGAGAAGGGATGTGCTCAGGGGGTCTTCGTGGAGATCCTCTGCTCCCCTCGCCTTGAATGTGGAGAGGGCCCAAGACTCCCTAGGGAAGGCAGGTGATACAGACTCCAGGTGTGCCCTGCTCTCTCCTCAGCACCACTCTGCAGCACCACAGGCAGTCTGGGGTGCAGATAACATCTCTCTGGGCATAGCTTCGCACCAGGGCATGCTGGGGGTAGAGCCACACTTGCATGGCCTGTGGATCCCTGCAGCCTGGGGATTGGGCTGCTATTCCCACTGCAGGGAGGGAGGTGGTCGGAGGTAGGGGCTGCTCCTACCTAGGTACTTCTGGCCTCACCAGAAGAAGGGGGAGGGTTTGCACATTGAGTGGCACCTGCTCCATCTTTGTCCCTGTATTTACATCATTATTCTGAAGGCCAAGAGATTGGACCTGCCGGAGCTCCATGCACAGACCCTGGGCAGGTGCATGTGGGCTTCTGGCTTCCTGGTGTGCACAGCCCCTTCTCTCCCTTCTGGACTGTGGCAGTGTACTAGGGACATTGTAGCCACTGTGTAAAGTCTCCCGCTTTCTGGGACAGTTTTATTCACTCATGTGTGTTGAGAGCTCGTTTTGTGCTGGGGTCCCTGGGGAGAACGCTGGGTTCACTCATAGTTCCACAACAAGGGACCTGTGGCCTTTGTTGTGGACAGGGGCCAAGAGCACGTAGAGAAGGCACTGAATGCTCCTTGGCTTCCAGGGGAAAGATCAGGACTGGAAGGATGTGGGAACTGCCCAAAGCTACAGGATCTGCTGTCTCAATGGCTGAGCAGGGTGCAGAGTGCATGCAGCTGTTTGTTCTGTGGCACTGGTAACCTTGGCACTTCTCCAGGTGTGAAGGACAGCATGGGAGTGAGCCTGTGAAGTTATAGGCAGAGTCCAGGCAGCCCCAAGCCTGGGTGGGTTGTAGCTGTCAGAGTGGCAGCAGGTGGACAGAGGGGATGGGCTCGGGGGGAGGCGGGGGGACCCGCTTGAATGGGAGTCAGCCTGGGGGCATCTCAATCCCTCTGATGCCTGGTTTGGGTCCCCAGCACTACTTAGCCCACCCCACTGAGCCTGTCTGTGCCTGGCCTGGCACTGGTGATGCAGGGACTGAGTCAGGCAGGGCCTGACCCAGAGAGCCCATGGGCAGACAGTCTTGGTGCTGCATGCCCGGGCTTAAACCAACAAGCCTGATTCTGAATGTCCACAAGCTCTTGGCTGGTGGGGCCACAGGACTGGGACCCAAGCCTCCTAGCGACATGGCTGAGGCCATCTGTCATGGGTCCTTCTCTCAGGCCACCTGGTTCCCTGTGACTCACTTGGTGTTGACCAGGTGCATGGATGCAGAGCTGAGCAGACAGTCCCTGTGTCCCCAGTCTGGTTGGGGGTGCAGGGGTCTGGAGCCCATGTGAGCCTGGTGAGAGCCTGGGAAGGAACCACTTTTTCCATGGCAGAGCTGAGTGCAAAGCACGCTGTTGCACTGCTCTGGTGGTGGCATTTTACTCTGTAACCTATTCATCCACATACTCATGTATTTCTCCACCCACCCATTCATCTACTTATCCACCCATTCACCCATCCATCCACTTATCCATCCACCCATCTACACATCCATCCATCCACCCACCCACCCATCCACCCGCCCATCCATACATACACCCACCCATCCATCACTTATTTGTTCATCTATCCATCCATTCCCCCATCTCTCCATCCACCTACTCACCCATCCATCCACCATCCATCCATCTATTCATGCATCCATCCACTCATCCATCCATCCATGCATCCATCCATCCATCCATCCATTCACCCACCCACCCATCCACCTATTGACCCATCCATCCACCCATCCATCTACCCATACTTCCATCTATCCACATACCTGCCTATGCACCCACTCATCCATCCACCCACCCACTCACCTATCCACCCATCCACCCATCCATGCATCCATCCATCAATCCACCCACCCACCCATCCATGCATCCATCCATCCATCCACCCACCCACCCGCCTCGTCCCTCCGTCTGAAGGTCTTTACAGAACAGCTGTGAAGCTGAGATGCTGGGGACCCAGTGGTTACTCAGGACAGTCATGGACACTGCCATCTAGGCTGTGCTTCCTGGCAGGCAGGAGCAGCGAAAAGGACCCTTTGCAGATAGTGGTGTCTGCTGTAAAGGAGAGAAAACAGTGAGAGTAAAAGAGTTGAAGAGTTACTGGGGTCTCCTGGGACTCTTTTCCATTCTGAGTCCTGAGCCCACCGAGAAGTAAGGCATGAAGGCAGGTGCTGGAAACCCAAAACCCTTCTAACAATGCCAACCCCTCCATCAGGTTGTAAACCAAAGGGTATCTGAGACAGGTCTCAATAAATTTAAAATACTTATTTTGCCAAGGTGAAGTAAGGGCCTGTGACACAGCCTCAGGAGGTTTTGACGACATGTGCCCAAGGTGGTCAGGGTACAGTTTGCTTTTATTTTTATTTTATTTTATTTTATTTTATTGAGATAGAGTCTCACTCTGTTGCTCAGGCTGGAGTGCAGTGGTGTGATCTCGGCTCACTGCAACCTCCGTCTCCCGGGTTCAAGCAATTCTCTGCCCCAGCCTCCCCAGTACCTAGGATTATAGGCGCATGGTACCATGCATGGCTAAGTTTTTGTATTTTTAGTAGAGACGGGGTTTCACCATCTTGGCCAGGCTGGTCTCGAGCTCCTGACCTCGTCATCCACCCACCTCGGTCTCCCAAAGTGTTGGGATTACAGGCATGAGCCACCATGCTTTCTTTTATACATTTTAGGGGGACATGAGACATCAATCAATATGTGTAAGATGTACGTTTGTTTGGTCAGGTAAGGCGGGGCAGCTTGACAACTTGCGGGGGTGGGGGACTTCCAGGTCATAAGTAGGTAAGAGACAAACTGTTGCATTCTTTCGAGACCTTGATCGGCCTCCCACTGAAACACAATTTAGTCTGGCTCAGGGAATCTGTATTTTTATATCAACAATAGGGCAGAGGAAGCCATCAGATATGGATTTGTCTCAGGGGAGCAGAGGGATGGCTTTGGGTCCTGTCTGTCATTTGTCTACGAGGAATTTCCTTCTGGGCAAATTTTGAGGGAGGTGGTGGCTTTTTAGTCTCTGTAGCCATCTTATTCAGGAGTGGACTGGGAGGCAGGTTTGCCTGAGCAGTACCCAGCTTGACTCTTCCCTTGGCTTGGTAATTTTGGGGCCTGAGATGGATTTTCCTTTCACAGGGTGTAGCAGGCTTAGTGCCAGGGCCCAGAAGACTTTTAGGCATCAGGAAAGTGGTTTAATGCCTTCTAAAATCAGAATAAACACAGTGCAGCCTGGGCTATAGTCATCTTTCTACCAACGCAGTTATGAAACATCATTCGTAATACTTTAGCCCAGAGGAGGGGCCCACAGAGGCTGTAATGCCAGGCTGCCCGCTATTCCCAATGGAGGCTGGTCGGAGGACGTGGCTCAGAGTGAAGGCCAAGGGGGCCTTCCCTGAACCCCAGAGTGGAGGGGCCACCTGCCCAAAGGCGCAGCCCAGGCCAGCCTCCAGGGAGCCCCCACCTGTTCAGCAGAGCAGGCCACCCCTGCAGGTAGCAGCGGAGAGTGAGCTCAGCCTGCCCTGCAGACCCTGCCTGGATTTGCCAATCCCTCCCTGCGTGGGGGTGGGTGACAAATGGTGGGAGAGAGGCAGGGGTCGGAGAAGTCAGTTTTCTCCACGTGGAAGGAGGCTCGGGAGTTGGGGAGGACACCCCCACCTTCCCCGGCCTTTTGTTGCCCTACCCAAGGGCCTCGAGGTCACACTTGTGGTGAGCTGGGGGGCCGCCCCTAGGGAGAGGAGAACTGTCGGGGTCCCCTTCATGAAGCCACTCCCAGGACTGCAGGGGGCCGTTTGGGTTTACCCCCCATGAAACTGCCTTTGCAAAAATTATAACTGAGGAAATGATGACAGTGAAAGAAATCAGACCTAACCGACTCCACATTCCTTCTAACCTTTAAGCTGTCCTTATTCATCCCTGGGCGTAGGCCGAACTAACTTTGGGAAGTAATTCAGTTCATGGTTTGACTCTGAAACAAAATTGGTAACAGCCCTTTCCCGAATAGACCCCCTTCTTGCCTGAGGACCAGTCGGCCTTTGTAGGACTAACAAATTAGCTGCAAGGTTAGAAATTATGGTTTAGGGGTCTTGTGGCCTCCGGCTGTGAGAGTCTGAACCTCCCCAAATTGCTTCTGGGGATCACCTCACTATTGTAAAACCTGAGATCAGTGCTGGGGATATTCTGCAGACCCCGCACTCATGGATCAGCTGACACCACCTAGACCAGTCATCTGGCTCAACCAGTTCCGCCATCCCACCCAGGAACAGAAGACAGCAAGAAAAACTCACTTTGACCCCCTATGAGTCCATCTCCAAACGGACCAACCAGTATTCCCCACTTTCTGAGCCCCTACCTGCCAAATTATCTTTAAAAACTCTGATCCCCAAATGCTCGGGGAGACCCTTTTGAGTAATAATAATAAAACTCTGGTCTCCCGCACAGCTGGCTCTGCGTGAGTTACTCCTTCTCCTTTGCAATTCCCCTGTCTTGATAAATCGGCTGTGTCTAGGCAGCCGGTGAGGTGAACACACTGGGCGGTTACACCAGGATTAATGAAACTGACGCAAAGCTCCTTTGTGCCAAAGCTGGAACTCATGCCTCCCACCCGCCGTCCACGTGGTATCCAGCTGCACAGTCATGCGGTGTCCAGCTGCATGGTCACGTGACATTGCAGCTGTGCCGTGGCGTTGGCAAGACTGTGACACACGGCGGCCCCACGCGGTGTCCACTGCACAGTCACGTGGCATTGCAGCTCCGCCGTGGTGACGGCAAGACTGTGACACACGGCGGCCCCACGCGGTGTCCACTGCACAGTCACGCGGCATTGCAGCTCCGCCGTGGTGACGGCAAGACTGTGACACATGGCGGCCCCAAGCGGTGTCCACTGCACAGTCACACGACATTGCAGCACTGCCGTGGTGACAGCAAGACTGTGACACACAGTGGCCCAAACGTGGGGGGCTCTTCCATTCCTGTATTACTTGATCGAAGAAGTCTGTAGGTCAAACGCCCTTGCCAATTACAGTTGCTAGACTTTAAAGTGAAAATGCATTTTCTTGCCCTCACCATTTAAAAGCCAAAGCTCAGAACTTTGAGTTTTAAGTGAAAGTCCCAAATGATGGAATTCAATTTCTTTCCCCCAGGTCACAGCCAAAGGGGCTGTCATGCAGGGAGATGAGGGGCCACACAGGCACTCTGGGGACCTGGGGCTTTCTTTCCTCAGGAGGCCCAGGGGCGCGGGTGAGGTGTCGGCTGCTTTGCACCCAGGCCACGCTGCTTCCAGGGGCCTTGTGGCTGGCAGAGTGGACCTGACGTTTCCCAGACGCCGTTGCGGGGGGCTCCTGTCCTGGGAAGGGCAGATTTTCTCCTGCGTGTGGGTAACTTGTAAGGTGGCAAGGCTGCGTTCCCCGGACCCCCGTCTGCGAGGATTCTCTGAGGTCCAAGTTTCCAACGCCTTTCTCTGGAAAGGTTTTGCCTTTGCTTCTCCCAGAAGCTTGGGTTGCCAGGACTCCCTCAAACTAAATTTTTGGCCTGGGGTTTTTCCAGTCATCCAGTGAGCGTGAGTTCTGGCCACACTGCCCCTGAGGTGGGCTTGTGACTGGAATTTCCTGGGGTGACCTTTTTCTGCTTTTCCCCCTGCTTCCAGAGCCAAGGCGACGCGCCCACTGTCTCCCAGCTGGGTGGGCTTCCCAAGGCCGTCTGTGGGGCCTCCTTGATCCTCCCGTGGGCAGGTCTCACGTCCCCTTTGCCTCTGGCTCCCTGTGTGCGTGGCTCACTCAAGCCAATGGGAAAACCCTGGAAACTCTACAGAGAAGTAGGTAAAATCCATGGACAGAGTGTGTAGAACAAGATTACAAATGGCTCTGAAATATAGGGAAAGAGGCTCGTAGTAAAGAAATGCAAATACAAGCTATGCAGAGATGCAGTTTCTCACACATCAGACTGGCAGCGATTCAAAAGCGCGACTGCGGTGGAGGAGGCCGTGGGAAACTGGCTCCCTCAGACACTAGGAGGGAAACTGTCCTTCACCCGAGGGAGCGGAAGGTGGCAGTAGCTAACAAAATTACACTGGCTTTGCCCCTTGACCCAGCGACTCCATTTCTAGGAATTTCCCCCGAGGTGACACCTCTGCAAATAGGGAACAGTGCATGCTTGAGGGATGCAGCACAGCCTCATTTGTCACAGCGAGACACTGGGAACGACCTGAGTGCTCATTCACCAGGCAGGGCTGTGCAAATGGGAACAGCCACAGCGCGGGGCATCATGTGGCCGTGGGGAACCTGGGGAGCCTAGGGGGCCTGGGGGGACTGGGGAGAACTCAGGGAGTCGGAGCACGGGAGGACAGACAGGCTGCTCAGTGTGGCAGGTGCAGCGCCGAGGGCGTCTGCAGGTGGGTGAGAAGGGGGTGTAAGGGGACACACACACACCACACATGCACATGCAAACCACACACACACGTAAGCCACACACACAAATCACACACATCAGACACACCACACACGCACATGTAAACCACACACACAATCACACACCACACACACGTGAACCACACACACAAATCACACACATCAGATACACCACACATGCACATGTAAACCACACACAATCACACACCACATGCACCATACACGCACATGTAAACCACATACAAATCACACACTACACACACACTTAAACCGCACACACAAACCACACACATCAGACACACCACACATGCACATGGGGACCACACACACAAATCACACACACCACACACACACATATCACACACATCATACACACACATAATACACACACACACAAATCACACAAACTACATGCACATATAAACCACGCAAAGTACACATTCATAAACTACACACACAAACTATACACACATATAAACCACACAAAGTACACACATGTAAACTGCACACACAAACTATACGCACACATATAAATCACACACAAAGTATACACATGTAAACTGCACACACAAACTATACACACACAAATAAACCACACACACAAAGTACACACGAACCACACACACACATATAAACCACATACACAAACTATACACAAACACATAAACTACACACACAAACTACACGCACATATAAACCACACACACAAAGTACACTTTCATAAACTACACACACAAACTATACACACATATAAACCACACACACAAAGTACACACATGTAAACTGCACACACAAACTATACACACACATATAAATCACACACACAAAGTACACACACATAAACTACACATGCAAACTATACACACACATATAAACCCCACACACAAAGCACACACATGTAAACTACACACAGAAATGATACACATTTAAACCACACACACAAACTACACATACATAAACTACACACAGAAACTATACACACACATATAAACCACACACACAAACTACACATACATAAACTACACACACATAAATCACACACAAACTACACACACAAACTCTACACACACATATAAACCACACACACAAACTACACACACATAAATCACACACAAACTACACACACAAACTCTACACACACATATAAACCACACACACAAACTACACACACAAACTCTACACACACATATAAACCACACACACAAACTACACGTACATAAACTTCAGAAACTACACATTCATATAAATGATACACACACAAACTACACACACATATAAAACACACACACAAACTACACACACATAAACTGCACACAGAAACTATACACACACATACAAACTATGCAAACTATACACACCCATATAAACCACACACACAAACTATACACACATAAACTTCACACACAAACTACCCATTCATATAAATCATACACACACAAACTACACACACACATATAAACCACACACACAAAATATACACACATAAACTACACACATATAAACTACACATGCAAACTATACACACATAAACTAAACACACAGACTACACACATATAAACTATATATGCAAAGTATACACATGCACATAAACCACACACACAAACTGTACACACAATATAAACCATACACACGAGCTACACACACATGTAAACTACATACAGAAACTACACACACACATAAATAACCACCAGGTGGGAGGACTGGGTGGAGTGAGAAGTCAGAGAATCCTTTACATATGTGTTGACTTTTGAAACACGTAAATGTTTACACGTTCAGAAATAGAATTAAATTGACAAGCACAAAAAAATTGAACATTGAATTCAAACAGAAATCAATGAACCTAAAACAATTGACAGCAACACCAGATGGAAACAAGAATGGAAGTGGCTTTCGAAGGGGCCTCTGGCTGTGGGGACCCGCAGCTCCGCGTCGCAGGCTGGTTTTGTCGCAGCAGCAGCGCTGCTGTGGTCGTCTGAAACCACTGTCTGTGGATTAAGGGCTGGTCACCCCCAGCAGCTTGGTGGTCCTCCTCGGAACCAGGACTCTTTCTCTCGCTGGGAGGCGGGAGATAGGGATGTGGAACGGGAAACAAAGAGGGTTCCTGGGGGCTTGTGCTTGGACCGGAAGCGGCAGCAATAACTCATAATTCAAAAAAAATCCATTTTCTGTCTCTAACCACTGAAAGGAGCTAACACTGGTGCTACCCAAGCACACAGGCACACGGGTGGTTTCCGAAGCTGTGTGGCACAATGGGGCCTAAGTCCAGATCTGGGTGGAGGTGGGCACAGGATGAGCCAGAGTATGGATCGCGTCGCGCCAGGAGGGCGGATGCACTTGAGGACAGACGGGGATGCCTCAACAGGCCAAAAAGGCCAGGTGGAAGGGGCTCTGGTGGCCAAATTTGAGACAGGATGAAGAGCATTGGATGAACAGTATAGTCCATGGCGGCCCTAGAAGGAGGGAGCACTTCCTCCTAGAACAATCCAGCCAACGTGGGAGAGGCGATGGGTTTGAAAGTCCCCATTTGTGCACTCCCCCTGGAATGAACCCATTCAGGTGAAGATCAGCAGCGGATGTTGAAGTCGGCTGAATAGCATCCCCAAGGCAAGTGCCTATCCTAAGCCCCAGAACCTGTAATCACAGGTCCCCTTGTATGGCAAGAGGGGCTTTGCAAATGTGGCTAAGTGAGGGACCTGGAGATGGGGAGGCCACCCTGGATTATCCAGGTGGGCCCTGGTGATCTTCAGGGTCCTTTTAAGAGGGAGGCAGGAGGGTCAGAGCCTGAGGAGGGGATGCAGTGATGGACGCGGAGCTTGGAGGGATGGGGTTTGGAAACGGAGGAAAGGGCCACACATGTACCCAGGAACACTGGTAGAAGGAATGCAGCCCTGCCGACACCGATCTCGGCCCGGTGTGACCCATTTTAGACTTCCGGTCTACAGAGATGGGAGAGAACACACCTGTGTTGTTTGTGGTAATCTGTTACAGCAGCCACAGGCAACTAACTCGGGTGCCAAAGCCATTGAGTTAAGGGCTGTTGGGGAACAGGATATTCACGCTCCTAGGACCACCAGTTACAAAGGGGAGGGGGACTTACGCAGGAGCAGCTGGCGACAGTCCTTCCCCCATGACTGGATGTAGCATCACCTGGGAGGGACAGCTGACATGTCCCCTGCTGTGACGGGCAGAGGACAGCGTCTCCTGTGAGTGTTGCTGCACAAAACACCACACCCGAATTTCATGCTGGGCCAGTCCGGGTTATGCTGCATCCTGCCGGACAGCTGACCAGACCCTGGAAGCCAGTGGTGTCACTAAAGGAAAAGAGCTCATCTGGTGTAGGAGGCTTAATTGTGGCAGGAGGGCATAGGTGGGGGGTGGTAAGAAGGAAGTGTCAGGAGGGAATGATGCTGCTAGGCATTTGGAGGCGGAGCTCAGGGGCAGGAAGAGGATTTGGAAGAATGATGGATAGAATTGATGACAGGCTGAATTTTAGGTGTCTGAGAAAAATCCAAGTGGAAACAATTCAGAAGATGCATGAATATTCAAGTATGGGCGTGGAAGAAAAGTCTGGACTGGAAATATATATTTAAAAGTAAATAGGGCGGCCAGTTGCAGTGGCTCATTCCTTTATTTCCAGCACTTTGGGAGGCTGAGGTGGGCAGATCAAGAGGTCAGGAGATCGAGACCATCCTGGCCAGTACGCTGAAAGCCTGTCTCTATTAAAAATACAAAAATTAGCTGGGCATGGTGGCATGCACCTGTAATCCCAGCTACTTGCGAGACTGAGGCAGGAGAATCGCTGGAATCTGGGAAGTTGGAGGTTGCAGTGAGTCAAGATCGCCACTGCACTCCAGCCTGGCAACAAAGCAAGACTCCGTCTCAAAAAAAAAAAAAAGTACAGGGTATGAGTGATAGTTAAAGTCACGCCTGTGAATTTGTGGAAAGATGTGAAACAGCCAACTCAGGGTCCGAAACGAAATAAGACAGACTCATGTTTCCTGACTTTACTATAACATTGCCTATTGCATTTTCAAGCATGAAGGGGAAAATATATATTTTTTTATGGAGATACTTTGATCTTTCAAATTCTGGACCTGGGATGTGAAATGGCCATGGCCTTAGTTATTTTAACTGGCTAACTCGTAGAATCCCTTTTCTGTGTTCCACAAATGTGCCACATTTTGTGCTATTCATATTCCTGTATCTAGTATATCCTCTTTCATTAATCTATTTTAGTGCAGTAATAGTTATATTTTCAGATCTAAGAACTAATTGCTTGACTTTGTTAATGGATAAAACAAACTGTAATATATTTTAAAGAGGTTTATTCTGAACCAATATGAGTGACTGAGGCCTGGAGAAAACACGCAACCAAGAAGGCTTGAGTAAGTGGTTCCGAGGTGGCCGGGTTGGTTTGGTTTTATACATTTCAGGGAGGCAGGAGTTACAGGCAAAGACATCAACACATGGAAGGTATACACTGGTTCGGTTCAAAAAGGGGGATTATCTTCAGGAGAGGTCTTATAGGTTGTAGGTGGACTTGGGCATTCTCTGGTTTGTGATTGGTTAAAGGAGTAAGGCCCTGTCTACAGCTTAGAGTTGACAGAAAGGAAGGTAAGAATGCTCTGTCAGAGTCAGCCACAATAAAATGCCCTGGTTAGCAAGCCTGATGGCCTGCAGGCCTGACTTACACCTGCCTTGCATGGCCTTAGGGCTTGTTCATAATTTGTTATCTTATGGCCACACGGGGTCTGTTCTGTCAGTCTTAGGATCTCTATTTTAACACCGCTGCTGGTTACTTGTTGAGTCCAAACTCCAAAACAGAGGAGGTATGATGAGGTGTGTCTGACCTCCCTTTCTTTCAGGGCCAGAAACAGCTTTTCAGTTTTCTCTGGGGTCCTCTTGGCCAAGAAGTTTCTGTTCAGTTGGTTGGGGGGGCTTAGAATTTTATACTTAGTTTACAACCTAGCGTTGGTCTATATTATATGCTCAGGAAAGTTTCTGAAATAGCCCTGGACTGGTTGGGTGATCTGGGATATGGAAAATGGGCCTGTGTCCTGAATGATGCACTTGAAAATGGAATATAAGACTCCGTAAAACTCAAAGCATCTGTGAACACAAAATTCAATTGAGTTGATTTGCCGCAGGCTTTCTCCACTGCTAACAGTTACAATTCAATCTCAGTTATACATGGTGTCCAAAAGAAGCACATTGTGGTGACCAGCAGAAACCAAGTTTTGCTTGAAGAATAAAGGTTGCAATTTTGCAAAGGTCATGTGTTATATAAATTTTCAGTAAGATGAGATAGTTTTAAATATTTATGGCATGGACCTAAAATACACTTGCACTCTTTAGGATGAAGGAATCTATTATTTTGTTGGTAAGTGAGGAATTTAAATGGCCACTAATTTCTTGCACGAATAGCTCTGCACGTTTTTCTCCATGTGTTTGTAGCGTGTACCTTTATCGGTCAAGCAACAGAGTCTCGCTGTGTACCCCAGGCTGCAGTGCAGTGGTGCAATCAAGGCTCACTGCAACCTCTGCCTCCCGGGTTGAAGTGATTCTCCCTGCCTCAGCCTCCCGAGTAGCTGGTATTACAGGTGCTCGCCAGCACGCCCTGCTAATTTTTGTATTTTTAGTAGAGACAGGGTTTCACCATGTTGGCCAGGCTGGTCTCAAACTCCTGACCTCATGATCTGCCTGCCTCAGCCTCCCAAAGTGCTGAGATTACAGGCGTGAGCCACCACGCCGGGCCTAAAATCTTAATTAAAAGATATAATGGAAACATAGACAACATAATAATAAAGCCATATACAACAGTCTTACCATATGGGCAGTATGGATGTAACAATATTGATTCTTCCAACCCATAAACATAAAATATCTTTCCATTTCTTTGTGTACTCCTCAATTTCCTTCATCAGTATTTTACAGTTTTTATTATAGAGATCTTTTACTTCTTTGGTTAAGTTTATTTCTATGTATTTTATTTGTAGCAATTATAAATTGGGTTACATTCTTGATTTCTTTTTCAGATTGTTTGCTGTTGGCATATAGAAATGCTACTGTTTTTTGTATACTGATTTTGTATCCTGCAACTTTGCTGAATTTGTCAATCAGCTCTAATAATTTTTTGGTGGAGTCCTTAGGTTTTTCTAAATTATAAGATTATATCATCTGTGAACAAGAATAATTTGACTTTTCCTGTCCCAATCTGGATGCCATTTATTTCTTTCTCTTGTCTAATTGTTCTGTCTAGGACTTCCAGTGCTATGATGAATAATAGAAGTGAAAGTGGGCATCCTTATGTTCTTCTAGATCTTAGAGGAAAAGCTTTCAGTTTTTTCCCATTCAGAATGTTACTAGCTGTAAGACTGTTGTATATGGCTTTATTATGTTTACATACATTCCTTCCTTACCAATCTTTTTTGGAGTTTTTTTTATCATGAAGGGTGTAGATTTTTATTGAATTTTTTTCAGAATTATTTGAAATTATCATATGGTTTTTGTTGATATGATGTATCATTCTGTTGATATGTTGTATCACACTGATTGATTTGCATATGGTGAACCATCCTTACATTCCTGGAATAAATTTCATTTGGTCATATTAAATGATTTTTTAAATTCGTTGTTGAATTTGATTTACTAGTATTTTGTTGAGGATTTTTGCATCAACATTAATCAGAGATATTGGCCTGTAGTTTTCTTTTTCTGTTGTGTGTTTGTCTGGCTTTGGCATAAAGGTAATACTGGCCTTGTAGAATGTGTTTGGAAGTATTCCCTCCTCTTCAATTTTTTGGAATAGTTTGAGTAGGATTGGTATTAGTTCTTCTTTAAATGTCTGGCAATATTCAGCAGTAAAGCTATCATCAGGTTCCAGGCTTTTCTTTTTTCATTTTAATCCATTTGCTGCTGCCAGAAAATTTAATTTCATTTTTAGTTAGTAGGCCACTGACTAGTTTAGTGTGTAGACTTCATGTTTCCATGGTTCTTTAGTTTGTTTAATTGTCTCAAAGTGGTAACCAATAAAAGTTTCCAAATTTAAAACCTTTCATTTGTAAATGGATTTCTATGAAACTTGTAAGTACAAAATCTCAGAAAGATACAATTAAATTATACTACATGATATCTACATGTCACAGAATCATGATCAGAAGTTTTCACTCCTGCTCCCAAATAAAATGTTGGCCTGACAGATATTTTCAAGTAAAATACTTGGCTATTCTTGAATCTGTAAGAACATGAGTCTTTTAAATTACAGCATCTGAACAAAAAATTCAGGGAAAAAGAAATAAATAGGCCCTTGACTATGGCCTGCCAGAATCCAGTTTGGAGATAAAAAGGGCTTAATTTGGAGGCACAGATAACATTGTACTATTAATTTCCTAGACTACTTGCCTAACTTTGATTTGTCTCATCCAAGAAATGACTGAGAAGGGAAAGTGTATAGTATTATCTAGTCTTTTGTTTAACTTTTACCTGTTTCTTCATGGAATTAAATGATAAAAGAGAAACAAAAATAGGTTCTTAAATTAAGCATCAAGACTAAAGATAGATATTTAAGACACATTTTAATGATTAATTGTGAAATCACCCTTCAAAAGATGGAAAAGAAATTTTGAAACAATTCTT